>NC_000011.10:36726666-36878181 GCF_000001405.40 Homo sapiens
GAGTAGAACTCTCTGCTTGCTGCAACAGAAGGGCTGGTAGTGGTTGGGGCAGAGGGAGACTCCCTGAGCTGTAGCAGGGGGCAGCTGGCTTTCTGGCACTTTCCAGTCCTGGGGGAACTTTGAACATCTTTCCTTTGTAGAAGCAAGTGTTACTGGCAGAGCTCCACCTATATTGAAAATACCTTTTTTGTTCCAGATTGAGCCCAGTGTCTTCAAGCCCTCCAATCCTGGGATCACTGTTTCTTTTGCAGACGTATAAAATAATTTGAGTCCTAGTCATCCGTAATTATGGGACTTGATGCCCTCTGACATTCTGAGGAGTGGTTCCTTATCTTGGTTGTTTCTTATCTACTCTAGAAGTTAGTCTAGATGTCTCTGTTAGTCTCCTTGGGCATCTAGTATCAGGTTCTGTGGCTGCTGTCTTCTCCTGTGCTTCTAGGTAAGAACCATAGCCCTCTCTTCATCCCCAAGGCATGTGATGGAGAATTAGGCGGGGTTCTGTGCTGCTTGAGGATTTGTTCTCTGTCTCCTGGGACGTTGTGTTAGTTAGCTAGGGCTGCCATCACGAAGTCCCACAAACTGGGTGGCTTAAACAATAGATATTTATTTTCTCACAACTCCTGAGGCTAGCACTTTGAGATCGAGGTGTCTGCAGGGTTGGTTTCTTCTTGAGGCCTCTTTCTTTGGCTTGTAGGTGGCTGTCTTCTCCTTGTGTCTTAACATGGTCTTCCCTCTGTGTCTGTCTGTGTCCTAACTTTCTCTTATAAGGACACTAGTCATATTGGATTCGGGCCTGTGCTAACGGCTTCACTTTAACTTAATACTCTGTCTCCAAATATAATCACATTCTGATCTACTGGAGCTTAGGGCTACAACATATGAATTTTTTTTGAGGAGTTGAGGAGCACAATTCATCCCATAAGAGATCTGAATTTCTTGTACTGAGGCAATTCTCATGATGGGCTTACATGGTAAGCACTACATAAGTAATGAGTTATTCAATTGTAGCATTATTATTTCTGTTCTCTCATATAGCTATAAAACTACCACATTTGTGTATATATAATGTATCATTTATAAATGTATACATATATACACATTTCTATGGCACCTCTCTTAGTAACTCATTTTAGTGATTTAATTTAGGTAATATATCTGGGTGACTTGTTTCCGTTTCCCAGAAGCCTTGGGGGTTTATAAAATATAAGGCAAACCTTCTTAATTTTCATTCATTTACCCATTGAATAAATACTCATCAATCATGCTGTGCTGGCTCTGGAGGTCACAATATTGACTAAGACTGCGCAGTTTACAATTCAGTTTAAATGTCACGAGGAGGCAAGTACAGTGTGCCAGTGGAGGCTTTTGGAAGGGCCCCGTGATGGAATAAGCTTGTCCACAATTTCTTTGACATTCCTCTCCAGTGAGAGGAGGTATATGTATTCCCTTTCTTTGAAACTGGGCTGATCGTGACCGTGTTGACCAGTAGAATATGGCAGAATTGGTGCTTTTCTGAGGCTTTAAAGAAGCAGCAGCATCCTCACGTAGAATGCTTGTTTTAGGGGAAGCCAGTGCCGTGTCACACGTCTGACTATCCTGAGAGCCATCTCTAAGCATTCAAGCCATCTCATAACCATCTCAGCTCTGGTGTGATGTCCTAACGTGCCAAATTATGAGCTCCATAAAATGGTAGTTTTTTTAATACTACTAAGTTTTGGAGTTATTTGTTACTTAGCAATAGGTAAATGAAGCAAGACCCTAATGCAGACATGGAAGATAATTAAGAAATCCTATATATCACGTATCCAACATTAAAGCACTGAGTGCATGTAGACACAGAATTCTTGGACGATGCCTGTCTGCAAAATCCACTCCCTGCTTTCACATGTGAAGGCAAAAGGCAAGTGCCTCTTCAGACATTAGTTCTTACGGTTCTTGCTCTGTTGATGAACTCCATGGAAAGTGCTGATTTTGAACATTATATAAATTACTATCTGTGGAGCCCATCGGTCTCCTGGGGGCTGGTGCTGCAATTTGCTACAGTGGCCCCTCTCCAATGGCTCTACGGGTCATTACTACAGGCTGCTTATTCAGCCTTTCCTCTACCCATGGTTGCATGCCACAGAATCTACCTAATTCTGCTACTTAATGTGCTTTGCCAAGGGTCCCGCCCTTTCTCTTCTTGCTAATTATTTTTCTCTGTCCAAAGTGGCTTTTTTCATATCACTGGGTCCAAACATCCCTGGAAACATTATCCCTGCAGCTTTCATGATACATTGCAGAAAAGCAGCATCAGACAGAGTTTCAGGGTGTGGACCCTAGAGGTAGACTGCCTGAGTTTGAAGCCTGATTCTGCCCCTTACACCCAGCATGACTTTGGGGCCTCTGGGCTTCAGTTTCCACAACGACAAAGTGAGAAAAATGGTAGGGCCTGCAGTGTAGGGTCTATGTGTTGATAAAAAGGCGATCATTCATGTAAAATGCGCAGAATAATTCAAGTATCCAATAAATATCAATTTTTATAATTCAAAACATGCATCGTCTAGTATTATTTGTAGGAATTATCTGCTTATTTATGTGTCTAAATTCCTTGAGGATAGTGTCTTGAGCATTATCACCTCCCTAACGCTCTGCACAATGTGCAACATACATTAGGCACTCAATAACTACTTTCGGAATGAGTGAAGGCTACAAAAACCACTTAAAAACTGTGTCTGTCAGTGGAAGGTCAATAATATCTTCACAAAAGAAAGGTAGCAAAATTGTATAGAAGCTTGATTTTGTAGAATACACTCTCTATCATTCCAAGAATCAAAAACAAATTTAATTAAGGGGTTAAGTAAAACAACTGCATTCATAAATATGGTTCTTACACATGATTTTTTGTTATTAATGTGTGCTTAAGGTGCTCGATAATGTAAAGCTGTAATGATCAGGTTCCTAAAGAAGTTGGGGTGTAGGAATCCAGAACCCGAAACCCCTTGATTATCCATGGAGGGGCTGCATAAATAAAGAACTATTTATTTATACATAGGATCCACCTGTTTAAGAAAGAATTTAAAGTGGCATACAGCTACTCATATAATAATTTATTATGAGAAGATACATTAAAATGAAGTAATGTAGTTGAGTCCTAAGAAAAAGATAAGTTAAAAAGTTAGATGAAGCTGGAAATGAAATTTGTTCCCAAAATGCTTGCTATGCAATCCTATACATTTTCCAGAGGCAGGTCACAAATTTGAACTTTCTACTAGTTTTTATGTGAAAATCATAAAAAAACCAATTACATGAGTCACGCTTCGGAATAATAACGCTAACAGCTAGCATTTATCACATGTTTACCCAGTGCCAGCTGAGGCTCTTAGTGCTTTGCTTGCATTAACTCTTAATCCTTATAGTGATCATAGGAGATAGGTACTTGGCCCAGGCCTTGCAGCTGATACACAGTTTTTAAACCAGGCAGACCAACATTTGAAACCACTCACCTTGGCTCCATGCCTACCACTGTTTAAAACAAGAACAGCTAGATTTCATGTTAAGAACTTGGAAGAAATTTTCTTTTGTTGGTTCTTGAATTTTTCTGGGAACCTTTTTGTAAAATATAGGAGACCCTCCAGTCAGAAACAGAAATTGGGTGCATGCTCATCTAAGGCAGTTCTCAAAGTGGACCCCAGACTAGCAGCATCAGCCTTACCCGGGCATTTGTTAGAAATGCAAATTCTTGATCTTCTTCCCAGGTCTACTGCATCAGAAGCTTTGGGGCTGTGGTCCAACAGTAAGCACTTTAACAAGTCCTCCAGGTGATTCTAATGTGGGCTCAGGTTTGAGAACTGTTCTAAAGGGAAAGGAGCTTCTGGGGCAGAAGATGTCTGGCTTCTCATGACTTTGGTAGGAACTTCAGAAGGTAGAACAACTCATGAAATTATGGTGCCAGTATCAGAGACCAGAGGGACGGGGCTCATATACTTAATACCCTAGAAAACCAGGAGATGCTATAAAAAACAGTGACTATGTTCCTGACCAATTTGTCAAGTAACAGGTGAATGCAATAATAGAACTTGCAGCTCCCACTTGGATGGACAGAGCAGCATGTGGAGACCCACATCATGAATTTTACTCCAAGAACTACCACAGGAACATACCAGGAAAGCTGAGAAAATCCATCTGAAGGAGGTGGACTGCCACCGCAGGCTCCCTAGGACAGCTGAGGAATTGTGAGTCTGCTTGCTTTCTCAGGTGGGAGGCTTGTAGCCTGGGGCAAGTTCTCAGCCCTGCTCACTGGCTGCCTGGAAATAAACTTGGTGCTGTTGTGGGGCCATGGTGGGAGTGAGACCAGGCTGCAGGCTGCTTGGGAGCTGGGTGAGGCCTGTGACTGCCAGCTTCCCACCACTTCCCTGGTGACTTGTGTGATGCAGCAGAAACAGCCATAATCCACCTGAGAACATAACTTTTTGGCCTGGGAACCACCCCGCCACCCACCACAGATCTGCTGCAAAGCCCGCCCAAGGAGAGACTGAGCTCAGACATGCCTAACCCTGCCTCCACCTGATGGTCTTTCTCTACCCACCCTGGTAGCCAAAGACAAATGATGTAATCTCTTGGGAGCTCTATGGCCCTGTCCACCACCTGATCCTCCCAATACAACCACAGCTGATGGGCTCTTGAAAGTGCCATCTCCTGGCTGGAGGCCATCCAACATAAAACCAGCACATTTAACAAAAATGCAACCAAGGACCCTCACGGAGTCCACTTCACTCCCTACTACCTCCACTGGAATAGGTGCTGGTATCCATGACTGAAAGACCCGAAGACAGATCACATCATAGTACTCTTTGCAGACACTCCCCGCTACCAGCCTGGAGCCTGGCAGCTCCACTGGGTGGTTAGATCCAGAAGAGAAGTAACAATCACTGCAGTTTGGCTCTCAGGAAGCCCCATCCCTAGGGGTAAGGGGAGAGCACCACATCAAGGGATCACCCTGTGGGACAAAAGAATCTGAACAACATCCCTTGGGTCCCAGATCTTCCCTCTGACATAGTCTACTCAAATGAGAAGAAACCAGCAAAACAACTCTGTTAATATGATGAAACAAGCTCCTTTATCACCTGCAAAAGATCACACTAGCTTGCCAGTAATGGATCCAACCAAGACAAAAATCTCTGAATTGCCAGAAAAAGAATTCAGGAGGTTGATTATTAATCCAATTAAGGAGACACCAGAAACGGTGGAGTCCAACTGAAAGAAATTTAAAAAAATTGATATAGGATATAAATGGAAAAATCTTCAGTGAAATAGATAGCATAAATAAAAAAACAATCACAACTTCTGTAAATCAAGGGCACACTTAAATAAATGCAAATTGCACTGGAGAGTCTCAGCAATAGAATCGAACAAGTAGAAGAAAGAACTTCAGAGTTCTAAGATAAGACTTTCAAATTAACCCAAATCTGAAAAAGATGAAGAAAAAAGAATTAGAAAATGAACAAAGCCTCAATAAGTTTGGGATTATGTTAAATGACCAAACCTAAGAATAATGGTTTTCCCCAGGAAGAAGATAAATCTAAAAGTTTGGAAAACATATTTGAGGGAATAATCAAGGAAAACCTCCCCAGCCTTGTTAGAGATCTAGACATTCAGATACAAGAAGCTCAGAGAACACCTGGGAAATTCATCATTGCCCAGGCACATAGTTATCAGGTTATCGAAAGTCAAGATGAAGGAAAAAATCTGAAGAGATGTGAGGCAAAAGCATCAGATAACCTATAAAGGAAAACCTATCAGATTAACAGAGCATATTTCTCAGCAGAAACTCTACAAGCTAGAAAGGATTGGGGTCCTATCTTTAGCCTCCTTAAACAACACAATTATCAGCCAAGAATCTTGTATCCAGTGAAACTAAGCTTCATAAATGAAGGAAAGATAAAGTCTTTTTCAGACAAATGCCAAGAGAATATGCCACTACGAAGCCAGCACTATAAGAACTGCTAAAAGGAGCTTTAAATCTTGAAACAAATCCTGGAAATACACCAAAATAGAATCTCCTTAAAGCATAACTCTCTCAAGTCCTGTAAAACAATAACAGTAAAAAACCACAAGGTATTCAGGCAACAAACAGCATGATATATAGGATAGTACCTTACATCTCAATACTAACGTTGAATGTAAATGGCGTAAGTGTTCCACTTAAAAGATACAGAATGGCAGAATGGATAGGAATACACCAACCAAGTATCTGCTGTCTTTGAGGGACTCACCTGACACAGAAGGACTCATATAAACTTAAAGGGGTGGAAAAAGATATTCCATGCAAATGGACACCAAAAGCGAGCAGGAGTAGCTATTCTTATATCAGACAAAACAAACTTTAAAGCAATGGCAGTTAAAACAGACAAAGACGGACACTATATAATGATTGAAGGACTGGTCCTCCAGGAAAATATCACAATCCTAAATATATATGCACCTAACACTGGTGATCCCAAATTTACAAAAGAATTACTACTTGACCTAAGAAATGAGATAGCTAGCGACACAATAATAGTGGGGGACTATACTCCACTGACAGCACTAGACAGGTCATCAAGACAGGAAGTCAATAAAGAAACAGTGGACTTAGGCCAGGTGTTGTGGCTCACACCTGTAATCCCAGCACTTTGGGAGGCCGAGGCAGGTGGATCACTTGAGGTCAGGAGTTTGAGACCAGCCTGGTCAACATGGTGAAACCCCATCTCTACTAAAAATACCAAAAATTAGCTGGGAGTGGTGGTGGGTGCCTGTAATCCCAGGTACTTGGGAGGCTGAGGTAGGAGAATCTCTTGACTCTGGGAGGCAGATGTTGCAGTGAGCCAAGATCGTACTCCAGCCTGGGTAACAGAGTGAGGCTCCAACTAAAAAAAAAAAAAAGAGAGAAAAAAAAAGAAACAATGAGCTTAAACTATACCCTAGAATAGATGGAATTAACGGATATTTACAGAACATTCTACCCAGCAACTGCAGAATATACATTCTGTTCATCAGCACATGGAACATTCTCCAAGATAGACCATGTGATAGGGCACAAAACAAGTCTCGGTAAATTTAAGAAAATTGAAATTATATCAAGTACTCCCTCAGACCGCAGTGGAATAAAATTGGAAATCAAAAGGAACCCTCAAGACCAGGTGCAGTGGCTCATGCCTATAATCCCAGCACTTTGGGAGGCTGAGGCAGGTGGATCACCTGAGGTCGGGAGTTCAAGACCAACCTGGCCGGCTGGGTGCGGTGGCTCATGCCTGTAACCCCAGCACTTTGGTAGGCCAAGGCAGGCGGATCGCCTGAGCTCAGGAATTTGATACCAGCCTGGGCAACATGGCGAAACCCCATTTCTAAAAAAATTAGCCTGGCATGATGGCGGGTGCCTATAATCTCAGTTACTCGGGAGGCTGAGGTGGGAGAATCCCTTGAATCCAGAAGGCAGAGGTTGCAGTGAGCTGAGATCGTGCCATTGCACTCCAGCATGGGTGACAGAGCGAGACTCCGTCTAAGAAAGAAAAAAAAAAGGAACCCTCAAAACCAGCAAATACAGGGAAATTAATTAACCTGCTCCTGAATTATCATTGGGTCAACAATGAAATCAAGATGGAAATTAAAAAATTCTTTGTACTAAACGGTAACAGTGACACAACCTATCCAAACCTCTGGGATACAGCAAAGGCTGTGCTAAGAAGAAAGTTCATAGCATTAAATGCCTACATCAAAAAGCCTGAAAGAGTACAAATAGACAATTTAAGGTCATACCTCATGGAACTGGAGGAACAAGAACAATTCAAACCCAAACCCAGTGGAAGAAAATAAATAACAAAGATCAGAACAGAAATATTAATAAATGAAATTGAAGCAAACAAAAATACAAAAGATAAATGAACCCAAACCTGGTTCTTTAAAAAGATAAATAAAATTGATAGACCATTAACAAGATTAACCAAGAAAAGAGAGATGATCCAAAGAAATTCAATTAGAAATGAAACAGAAGATATTACAACCAATGCCACAGAAATACAAAAGCTCATTCAAGGCTATTATGAACACCTTTATGCATACAAACTAGAAAACCTAGAGGAGACGGATACATTTCTGGAAATAAACAACCCTCCTAAATTAAGCCAGGACAGACCAATAAAAAGCAGTGAGATTGAAATAGTAATTAAAAAGTTACCAACCAAAAAATGTCCAGGACCAGATGGATTCACAAATGAATTCTATCAGACATTCAAAGAAGAATTGGTGGAAATCATATTGACACTATTCTTAAAGATAAAGAGGGAATCCTCCCTAAATCATTCTATGAAGCCAGTGTAACCCTAATACCAAAACCAGGAAGGGACATAACAAAAAAAGAAAACTACAGACCAATATCCCTGATGAACATAGAAGCAAAAATCCTCAACAAAATGCTAGCTAACAGAATCCAACAGTATATTAAAAAGATAAGCCACCATGTTCAAGTGGGTTTCATACTAGGGATACAGGGATGGTTTAACATCCACAAGTCAACAAATGTGATACGCTACATAAACAGAATTTAAAAAAACCCACATGATTATCTCAATAGATGAAGATAAAGCATTTGACAAAATCCAGCATTCCTTTATGATTAAAACCCTCAGCAAAATCGACATAGAAGGGACATGCCTTAAGGTAATAAGAGCCATCTATGACAAACCAACAGACAACATTACAGTGAATGCAGAAAAGTTGAAAGCATTCCCCCTGTGAACTGGAACAAGAAAGACAAGGATGCCCACTTTCACCACTTCTATTCAACATAGTGCTGGAAGTCATAGCCAGAGCAATCAGACAAGAGAAAGAAATAAAGGGCATCCGAACCAGTAAGGAGGAAATCAAACTGTTGCTGTTTGCTGATAACATGATTGTTTACCTAGAAAACTCTAAAGACTCCTCCAAAAAGCTCCTAGAACTAGTAAATGAATTCAACAAAGTTTCGGGATACAAAATTAATGTACACAAATCAGTAGCTCTGCTATACACCAACAGCGACCAAGCTGAGAATCAAATCAAGAACTCAACCCCTTTTATAATAGCTGCCAAAAAATAGAGTATTTAACAAAGCTACAGAGCTGGCATCACAAAACTGGCATAGCTGCAACAGGGATCCTCTTATGATTTTAATATAGATCATACTGCTTTTATATTCAAAATGGTTAAGAGCTTTCCATTGTAATTAGGACAAAATTTACATGCCTTAGCATGGCTGACAAGGCCTTGCCTGATCTGGTCCCTGTTTTTCTCACCAACCTAATTTTTGCCTCGCCCCCTTACTCTACATGCTCCAGCCATATTAGTTGACTCTCACCTCCTTGATAGTGGTGAATTCTCTCAGCTTTTGTTTGTTTGGGAACGACTTTCTTTCTCCTTCTTATGGAAGGATAATTTTTCTGGGTACAGTATTCTCATATGGCAGTTTTTTTTTTCTTTGAGCACTTTGAAAATGTTGTTCTACTCTCTCCTAGCCTGCGTGGTTTCTGTTGAGCAACCTGCTGCCAGATGATTTAGAGCTCCATTATATGCCAATTTACTTCCTTTCTTTTGCTGCTTTTAGGATCCTTTCTTTGTCTGTAACCATTGAGAGTCTGATTCTTATATGCCTTGGGAAAGTCTTATTTGGGTTCAATCTGTTTCATGTTTTCCGACCTTCTTATACTCGGATATTTATATCTTTTTCAAGTTTTGGAAACTTTTCTATTATTCTTTGAATAAGCTTTCTACCCATTGCTCTTGCTCAGCTTTCTTTTGAACACCAATAATTCTTAGATTTGGTCTTTTCAGGTAATTTTCTATTTTTTGTGGGAGGCCTTCATCCCTTTTCATTATTTCTTCTTTTGTCTCCTCTGTGTATTTTCAAATAGCCGGTCTTCAAGCTCACTGATTTTTTTTCCCTCTGCTTTGTCCATTCTGCTGTTAGGAGCTTCCAATGAGTTTTTCAGTTCAGAAAACGTATTTCTCAGTTCCAAGATTTCCATTTGATTTTTTAAAAATTTCAATCTCTTTGTTAAATTTTCTCAATACATTTCTGAATTGCTTTTCTGTGTTATCTTGGAGATCACCAAGTTTCCTCAAGACTGCTATTATGAATTCTTGATCAGAGAGCTCACGAATCACTGTCTTGTTAGGGTCAGTGACTGAACTTTTGTTTTGTCCTTTTAGGGGAGGTCATAGTTCCCAGTTTGCTTTGTTTCTTGTGGATGTATGACAATGTCTTTGCAATAAAGGATTAATTATTTATTCTAGTTTTCTCTGGTTTGTTTTGTTTCTTTGGATATATTTGCTCAGCAAATACTGTTAGATCACTGCTCCCTTTTTGGTTCTAAGCCTTGTGCCTTAAGCCCAGGTTTGCTTTGACTCTAGTTAATGAGTGGAGCACTGCCTGTCCTGGATGGGGTTAAATTTCAAAGGAATTATCCCAGCAGTGTGGGAAGGCTGGCTAGGGGTTCATGCCCAATGGACCTATGAAATGTACCTCCTACAGGGTACTGCTGCTTAACAGCTACCTGATTTGGCATCTCCTTTGGCCAAGTTACAGAGCAGACTTTCCAGGGCTCAGGATGCTAGTCCCTCCTCCTCCCTTTGTCTCTGCCTGTCCTTAGGGATATTTCTTCCTTCAGGCAATCACTTCCCATGGGTTAAGGCAAGGACAGGTCTCCTGCCAGGCAACCTAAGATAGTGGGAAAGCTGGATGATCACCTCAATCTCACTTTTTCCAGTGTAGGAACTGTGAATTGGGTAAAATTACCTGCACACTTGTTGCCGGGAAGAATGTGGGTTGTGGGGAAGGGCATCCTCAGAGCCTAGATGGTAGGTAAATTCTCCCATCCTTTGCTCAGAGGTTTTTCACTTCTCCATGACCTCAAGATCTATCTCATCTTCACATTTGAGTCCTGGGTTGTTGCTGGCAAAAACTTTGGTACTGTATATATATTTTTGGTTTTCTGTGGGGGTTGATGATAATGTAGCCAGCTCACCTCTATACCACCATTTTAAAACCTACTCTCAGCTCCTTGAACACTCCAGGAGCTTCGCCAACTCTGGATCTTTGTATAATCCCACTCCGCTGCCTGGAATAATCCTCCACTTGGTCCTTGTATATCAAAATCATTCTCATCCTTTGGGTCTCAGACTAAATGCTATCCATGGAGGACTTTCAATCCAACATAAAATATCCAAGATAGCTGTTTTACTCAGATGTTGGCACCTGGCTGGAATGACTGGAATAGCTAAAGCTTGCTTGGCCTCTCTTTCCCCATATCCTTTTCTAAGCTAGCTTGAGGTTCCTCACAACATGGTACTCTCAGGATGTATCTATTCACATGGGAGCTAGCTTCCCCTAGAACAAGTATTCTAAGAAAGAATATTGCTACTTCTTTACAGTCTGGGTGAAGCATCACTTCCGTCATATTTTACTGGTAAGCACAGTGTCAGAACCAGCCTAGATTCAAGGGGAGGGGACATAGACATTTCCCCTCAATGGAGAGGAGTATCAGATAATTTGTGGACAAGTTATGCTATCACAGGGCCCTTCCTACAGCCTCCACTGGCACACAGTACTTGCCTTCCCATGACATTTAAACTGAATTGTAACTGCCTTGTCTTAGTGAACATTGTGACTTCCAGAGGCCAGCACAGCACCATTGATAAATATGTGTTCAATGAGTAAATGAATGAATGAAAATTAAGAAGGTTTGCTTTACATTTTAGATATCCTTAAGGTTCTGACAAACAGGAAACCCTTGAAGCCACGAAGCTTCATGAGGAATCAAATCTTTCTTGTTGACTGTTACTTCCTCTGTATTGGCACAGTACCTGGCAGGTATATTACATCCTCAATAGCTGTTTGTTGAATGAATAAGTGAAAGAATGCATGTCTATCAAAGCTAGTTCCACTTCCCTTTCAAAGGCACCAATGTCGATTGTTTGTAAGTAAACCTCAAGCCATTTTTGCTGTACTAGCTGCAGAGCCAGCTCCATTTCTGTACTTCCTATTCTTCTTATATCTCTAGCCCCAGATAACTCTGGGGAGCCACATCCCCAAGGACTTGACATTATACTTCACACGTGTATTCTCAGACACTTGAAGCAGGGGTAGAAGTGGAACACTGTTTTGAAATTCATTGAGCTCAGAAAAAAATGCCTTCAGAGCTAAGAGGTCTGTCAGTTATAATGTACAGACTTCTGGAGCTTATTTAGCCTTTTCTTTTAGGGGCACATTGGAAAATAGGAAATTGGAGGACTTGTAGAAGGATGTGGTAAATGTGATAAGCATATGAAGCTCTTTTCTGTGTGCTCAAAGAGGATGCAAACAAGGACTATATGAACATTGCTAGGGGTCCTGAGGGGCTCAGAATTATAGTCAATTCTTGCAGTGGTATTTTCAGCTCTATATGATGGTTTCTTCTTGGGGCTTTTTACTCTAGTGAGTTTACTTTTGAGTACTTTGGATTCAGAGTTTGCTCACAAGGGACCAGGACAATTGCTTGTAAAGGAAGGGATTCCTCTGAATCTTGAGCTTTGGTTTAAACTTCCCTTTTGAGCTTTAGACCCTTATATCAGACTGCATACCACAGATCTCACCTGGATATCCCACAGCTATTTCAAACTGCACTTGCCCAAAATAGAATTCATTCTGTGTTCCCACAATTGAGTTCTTATTTCTATAGTTTATATTGAGATCAAAGGCAGCAGCACCTTCCACACAGTCATCTGAGCAGAAGCACAGATATCATCCTTCAAGCTTCCCTAAATGTTGGTGGTAATAGATAATATTTATTGATAGCATCCTATGTGCCAGGTCCTGTGCTACGTACTTTATGTACATCAACCCCCTTAGTCATCACTGCAGCCTGTGACTAAGATTGTGTTATTATCTGCATTTTAAAGCTGAAGAAACAGGTGACTGCGAAAGTATCCCAACAGACCTTTTTGCCTGAAGCTCTTCTCAGATTTATCTACTGCATGGCAAGCTGATTTCTCTTTTAAATAAGCAGACCTGCATGTACCATGCCCTTCCTTACAAGCTTCACTGGCTCCCCGTTGTCCTCAGAATGTAGCCCAAACTCTTAGCCAGGAGTACAGCACCCTTTATTACTTGGTCACTGAGCACCCATCCAACCTCATTTCCAGTGGCTCTTACCTTGGCCCCCTATCCCCTCACTCCCATGTTGTAGCCATGTTGGATACTTGCCAGCACTTGAAATATGCATATTTTCCAGCCTCATTTAATTCTTCATCCTAAAAATACTTTGGGGGAGCCCACCATATGCTAGGTACTGTCTTAGGCACTAGTGCTATAGCTGTGAACAAAACAGATCAAGGCCTGCCCTCATGGCACTTGCATTCTAGTGGAGAAGTCAGACAATGCACAGGCAAATAGCTACATAGACCATGTACTGTCCGAGTCCTGAGTGCTGTGCAGGGAGATAAAGCAGAGAAAAGGGGCAGAAAGTGACAGCAGGGTTCTATTTTATTTGAGATGGCCAGAGAAGGCACTTTGCAATGGCCCTGAGATGAGAACTTGCCTGGAATGTTTGAAGAACATCAAGGAGGCCAGTGTGGCTGGGAGGACGTGGAACCAAGGGAGGTCTCTAATATACCAAGGAGCCCATCACGTAAGGCCTTGAAGGCATGACCAAGACTTTGGATTTTATTGCAGGTGGGAGAGGAAATTATTGCAAGTTTGAGATGAGGGAGTGATGGAATCTGATTGGTATTTCACAAGGATCATGCTGATAGCTGTGTGACTGTTGAACAGACTGTAGTGGGGTAAGAGTGGAAGGAGGGAGACCAGGTAGGAGGCACCTGTGCAGCTCTTGTTCCCATTTCAGGAATATTCATTCCCCATGCCCTTCCTCACCTTTGCCTGGTGACTGCTACCCAGCTTTCTACACCCATCTCAGGAGTATCTCCATTCAAAAATCTTCCTCAGTTCTCTTCCTCTCTATCCTCCTGATGCAGAATTTTATGTATTTTTAATAGTATGTAATCTCACTATTTTGTGGTTATGTATATATCTGACTTTCATAATTAACTGTGAGGTCAATGAATCCTAAAGGGTGGGATCTATTTCTGTTTCTTGCTTTTCTTTGTGTTTCTAGCTCCCTGGCATGGCACCTGATAGTGTTGATAGGAATCAATGAGGATTTGAGAAATACATGAGTGAATGAACAAAGGAACAGCTCATCTGGCTGATACTAAACATTCAAATGCTTATTTGATTGAACAAATGAGGGTTCAAATAATTCCATTCAGTCAAAATTGTCTATGTATTTATAGGCCAACTTTAAAATGTAACTTGCATATATAAAGGCATCAAATTTCAGAAATTGTTGTGGAAACTAGATTTGTGGAGTCGTGGAGAAGTCCTTTTGAATACAGTGCTATCTGTTGAAAAGAGCTCCAGGCTGTCAGCTTATTGACTAACGTGTTTTGTTGTTGTCATTTTTTTTTGTTGATACATAAGGATTGTACATATTTCTGGAGTACATGTGATATTTTGATATGTGCATACCATGTGTAGTGGTCAATAGAATATTATTGAGCCATAAAAAGAAAGAAATCTTGTCATTTGCAGCAATGTGAATGGAACCAGAAGATACTATGTTAAGTGAAATAAGCCAAACTTTGGTCATGATTTCCATCACTCACAGCAGCCCTGGAGTACCAGCACACTTAAACAGTGCAACCAGGATCAGTCAAACAGAACCAGAACCATTTAGGTTTATGTTGTTATGGATTTTTGCAAAACTCCCTTTAGATTCCCATGGGTGGAGTGTGACTTATGGCTTCTCAGATTATTCATTTGTTGAATGGACTTCAGTGGGTTTTCTGTAAGCCCCTGCCTTGCTTAAAATAAATCTGATATAAGCAAATCTTTTTTTCTTTTTGAAATAACAAAACAAAACAAATGACTGAAAGGTGATTTATTTGATGAATGAGTTAAGAGATTATAGGATTCCTTTAACAAGCCTCTTGAATGCATTTAAAATGATGTAATTTGTTAAAGAAAAACATTTACATGGAACTTCTAAGGGCCCAGAAGTTAGCAATTAGATTTGAGCAATTCTAACTTGGACAGTTTCCATCAGCTATACTCTGTGGGTGTCTGTACTAGACAGTGCTCTGCTGATATTGAGGGGAGTCTCAAAGGAGTAGAAGAGGCCAGATTCTGGGTCTCCATCTAGACCTGCTGTGTCCAAAATGTAGCCCCTAGTCGTATGTGGCTATTGTGCCCCTGAAATGTGGCTAAGGCTACCAAGGAACTAAATTTTTAACTTAATTATAATTCATTTTCATTTAAAACGGATATTTTATTCCATTATTAGAAAACTTTTAAGTATGTTTAGAACAACTTTGGGTCTGTGGGTCTTTTTTAGTTATAAATTTTGTATACTTTAAATATAGATCAACTATTTCTGATTTTTCTGATGAACATTTAGTGTACCAATTAAGATGTCCTGTAAGTATAAAATGCACACTGACTTTGAAGACTTTAGCACAAAAGGTTGTAAAATATCTCACCAATGCTTTTTATACTGATTACACATTGAGTTAACATTTTGGATATGTTGGGTTAAAACATTTTAACAGAATTAATTTCATTTGTTTATTTTTACATTTTAAATGTGATTATTAAAATTTTAAAATTACATACATGCTTATTACATTTCTACTAAAAAGTGCTGGGAGTCTGTGCTAGGTATGCCTATTACCTCTGCACTATCCATATCCTGTTCTAGGTGAAACCACACAGCACAATGCACTGAGAACCCTGGCTTGGTGATCCCATCTAATTAGACCAGCACTGGGCAACCAGGATTGAGAACCAGTGTTATGATATTTGCTTACTCACTTGGTCCCTGATGCAGGCTTTTTCTCTATGGGTATAAATAAGACATCAGAAGAGCTCTACCATCCCTCCCAAGAACTTCTTAAGTAGAGCCAACCAAATTTTCTCACCTAAGGTTTTGGAATCAAGACACAAGTCTTGCTGGTAAGAAGCTGTTGGACATGGGACTCCAAGGCAATGAGTTAGAGATAGCTTCCTGGGAACCCAAAGCCTTGCTTGGGGAGTAAGAGCCTTAGAGGATGCCAGTATGCAGTGTGGAGAGGGGGCCCACATGCAGAGTCCTGAAGCTTAGGGAGAAACACAGTGGAGACTTGGCTACACCTCCCACTTGGGGTTTTGTGAGATTCTCTTGTATCTTTCCCATAAATCCCCCTTTGTTTAACCTAGCTTGAGTGGATTTCTGTTTCTTAATGCTAATGATTTTCACACAGACAAACATGATTAGGGAAACAAGTCAACTATCAGGAACAATAAAAAAGCATCAAAATTTATAAACACTGAAGTTAGAGGAATGAGTATGTAAGTGCTGGCAAAGATAATGTGGTATGAGGAATAGTCTGAAACAGTGGTCCTCCAAGTGTGGTCTGGAGGACCCTGAAACCCTTTCAGTGGGATCTCCATAAAGTCAAAATTGTTTTCTAATTATACCAAGCCTTTATTTGCATGTCTTGCTCTCATTCTCTCATGAGTGAATAGGGGAATTCTCCAGAAACAACATGATGAGTGATATAGCGAAAGCTTAGATGCAAAAGTATCTACGAGAACCCAGCTGTCTTCTATTAAACCATACATTAGAGAGATTTATAAAAATCAAATACAATGCCATTCTTCTATTTTTTTGATTCTTGAAAATAGTTAATTTTATAAAACTATGTTAACATGTAAATGGTTTATTAAATATGTTAAAGTTTCTCCATTTTAATCACTAATGTTGTAAGCATTGATGGATAGAACCCACATATACAACAGCTCTTTGGGGTTCTCTATAATTTTTAAGAATGTAAATGGTCCTGAGTAGAGAATAGTAAGATAAATCAGTGAAGAGTTAATGGAGGGAGAACTGGTTTAGAGTTGCCCTGAGGTCTTATTTTCTGTTTATAATGCCTGTGTCTAAATAGGGGCCAAGCAAGGGTATGATTACAGTGGTTCTCAACCCTGACATCAAAATCACCGTGGAGGACTAGAAAAATACAGATCTTCAGGCTTCTGTCCCCAGATATTCATATCATAAGGTCTGAGAGGAGATCTAGGAATCTGTATTCTTAAAAAGTGCCTCAGCAGTTTCTTTGCACAACACGCAAAAAGGAACAAAGAAAAGACATCATTTAATTTCAGAGAGATGGGCTGTGGATGATGAAAAGCAAATGAGGGTGCCTGCTCCCACCTGGCTGCTGGCCTTTTTCTGGCAGCTCTGTGGGTGAACTGGGAGGCATGAGGCTGGCTGTTGAGGTCAGAGGGGACTGCATGCACCAGGTGGCCCAGCCTCACCTAGCTGCCTCTCTGATGGCCTCCCTGAACTGATGCTGTGGATTCATTCGCAGGTGCTCAAGGGCACACCCTGAAATCCATGAACCCACCAGAGTTGAGAATGGGAAAAGATGAGATACTGCAAACACAAGGTAGTTCCTGTGCCTTGTTTCTAAGCTTTAGCTCTTTAAAAAATGTTCTTGAGACTGGAAGTGGATTCTGAAGCAGAGGCTAGCTATAGTTCAGGAGGCAGGCTGGAATTTGTCATTTGTACAGTAAGGTAGCAGAAAGTTTTCTTGCGAGAGATTGAGAGAGAGAGAGAAGTTCTTGCTTCCTTAAAAGAAAGGAGACCCCCCCACCCCTTCCCTACCTCAATATCTTGCAGACACGTACTGATTTCTTCTGAGGGCTTAAAAGGTGCTGTGTTTACCTCCCCTCTGCTCTTACGTCCATTCACAGGAAGTCAACGGGAGGGTTGGTGTGGAATTTTCTTCTCACTGTGCAGTGATACATTGAGATGGATTATGGGCTTATTTTTGGCTCCCTGGAATGTTTTCCTTTCATTTTGTTTCTTCTGGAAGCAAATCCTGCTTTCCTGGGCACAGGGATACTATATGATTCAGGACTGTCCATTCATAACATCCTATCCTTGGGAACAGGGGCACCACGTGGCACAACTCTAGTAACTCCAAATGATTTCACTGACATGCACGTCAATGTGAATGGCGCCCCCTGGTGTGGCATGATAGGACAGCCCTGCCTTGGAAATGGAGCGGTGGGAGTACGTCGCAGGAAAAGAAGCAGAACAACCAGACTCTATTTCTAGAATTAACTTAGGAAGGTTGGGAGACAAAAATCTCTTTCCACTAGGGTTGCTAAACAGGGATGCAGAGAAATGAGTTTGGTTGTCACCTTCCTATCCCACAAGATTGTTGTGGGAGAGAATTATGCCATCATACCCAGCAGGAAACAGACACTGAAGACCGTGAGAGAAAAAGCTCTGATGACATAGGTTGAGCCCCTGGATCCACTGAGCCTGAAGTGAGAGCCATTTTTGGATTTTTAAATTCTATGAGTCTATTAAGCTTACGATTTTCCTTAAGCAAGTTCAAGTTAAAGTACTGACTAATGTCTTTTGTTTTTTTTTGTTTTTTTTTTGAGACGGAGTCTTGTTCTTGTCGCCCAGGCTGGAGTGCAGTGGCGCGATCTCAACTCACTGCAGCCTCCGCCTCCCGGGTTCCAGCGATTCTCCTGCCTCAGCCTAGCTGGGATTACAGGCGTGCGCAACCACGCCTGGCTAATTTTTTGTATTTTTTTAGTAGAGACGGGGTTTCACCATGTTGGCCAGGCTGGTCTCAAACTCCTGACCTCAGGTGATCCACCCGCCTCGGCCTCCCAAAGTGCTGGGATTACAGGCGTGAGCCACCGCGCCCGCCCAGCCTAATAGACAAGTGGATATTTGTATGCAACTTGGTGGGATGCAGACATTCAGGGAATTTAAAAAACCTCAACAACTCAACAGCACATCCATACATGCCAACTATCCCACAGATAAGACACTTCTCATTTTATCATTTTGAGCAGACTGTTCATTTAGATTTTGTTGGCTGCAGAGAAGAGGTTTAATATAGGCATGATATTCATCATAAACAGAGTAAAGTGAAATGCTAGCACTATTTGAAAGTATGATGTCAATTAATAATAACAATATAAGAAAATCTGTATAATATTTTACGTCTTTGTTTTCAGAAAAAGATTTCCATTTCTAAATTTATCTCACATTTTACATGCATGATCATGTATAAATATGTATTATTTGGTGAAAATGTCATTACCTGATTAAACAGGTTCTGTAATTTTCTGGCTCCATTTAATTTATCTCATGGCTTTTATTTTCTTTTTTTAAATGATTGATGTGTTGAGAATCACTTCAAGCATTTTGTTGTCATTTTAATTTCTTTTCCTTGAATTATCTGTCATGCTTTGTCCACCACTCTTAGATTAACTTATAAAGCATATTAACAATTTTCCCCTAATCTATTTTGTAAATATTTTCTTCTAAAATTTCACTTACCTTCATGTAAACTTCTTTGTTTTGCTATCAAGAATGCCATTCTTATTTTCCACTGATTCTTCTAATTGCAACATGGTATACCTCATTATAAAGCAATCGAATGATGTAGTGGCACATTCTCCATTTCCGATGGTCTAGACCAGTGCTACAATAGAACATGGAAGTGTCCCATATCTGTGCTGTTCTTTTTTTTGTTTTGTTTCGAGATGGAGTCTTGCTCTGTCACCCAGGCTGGAGTGCAGTGGCGTGATCTCGGCTCACTGCTACCTCTGCCTCCCTGGTTCAAGCGATTCTCCTGCCTCAGCCTCCTGAGTAGCTGGGATTACAGGTGCATGCAACCATGCCTGGCTAATATTTTGTATTTTTATAGAGACAGGGTTTCACCATGTTGGTCAGGCTGGTCTTGAACTCCTGACCTCGTGATCTGCCTGCCTCGGCCTTTCAAAGTGCTGGGATTACAGGTGTGAGCCACCATGCCCGGCCTCTGTTCTGTTCAATAATTAACTACAGGTCACTATTGAGCTAGTGTAACTGAGAAAGTAAATGTTTAATTTTATTTGATTTAAATTAGATTTGAGTAGCTTCTTGGGGTTAGTGGCCACTGCATTTTTCTGTTACTCTATTTTGCCCTCAGCTTAACGCTGGAAAACAGTTTCATATTAAGCTTGAGAGAGAGAGGAGATAAGACAGAGGAAAAAAGTCGAATGGCTGATCTGCTTGTCTGGACGTGGAATGAGAGTCAGGAAACTCTGATCTCAGGACCAGACTCCTTACTGACTATGGGATTTGGTAAATCATCATACCCTTCATCCTGGAAACAGAACTGACATCCTAACGCAGAGGCTGGGGTATGCATTTGGTGTTAGAAGGGCTGAGCTTGAGATATGGTTTCACTGCCAAGTGACACCATGAGGTCACAAATTTCCCTTCTATGGCTCCACTGTCCAGTGACTTTTACTTGTTGCTCTTTTACTTTTCTGTGGTTTAATATTCTACTTCCCAATTCAGATATTGAGAGAAAGTGTTAAATGGCTTTTGCTTGGTCTAGTCCTTTCCCTTTGATGCTATAATGCAAACAGCTTTATGGGCTCTCTGCTGGGTGCTGGGGAATGTTCTGGGCTGCCATCTGGAGGGCAACTGTTGAGGTGCACCTGGTCCCTCTGACTTGGGTGAAGAGGTGGAAGGTGACATACTGCCACCTAGTGTCCAAGTGTCCATAATGCCTAGGGACATTACAAGTCTTGATTAGTAACATACTATCCTGTAGTCTCCGAATAACTACGTGAGCTAGGCAGTGGTTACTGTGATATGAGTTTTGTGATTCTTATTTTACAGATGAGCGAATGGGTCCTAAAAGCCACATAGTCAGTGGAAGAGCTGATCCTGGAAACTGGCCCCACTGACTTCATCGTATCATGGTTTAGGTCCTGCAGTATGTGGCTGCCTGCTGTGCAAATGCATCAGATGCATACCCAGCTACGTACCTAATTGTTGAGGTGCCTCAAGTTGTGTGTGTGTGTGGAGGAGGGGGATAATGGGAAACAGTGGATGACTGAAGGCTGAATCTGCAGTTATAAAATGAAAGAAAATAATGAATATAATAAACGAAATTGGGATTATGGTATTTAAACATCTCATCAATCAGTCATCAAATGTTCAGCCTAGATCAGTAGAATTCCTGGATGCTTCAGTGAGATAGGTATTCAAGACCACTTCAGTGTGAATAGTCTAAACAATAATGCCAATGGCTTCCAAACGTCTACAGTGGTAGTTGCTGCTTTTGGGGTCTCATTTCCCCATTAGCACTGGACTGTGAAACAATGGCTTACATCTGTAAAGGGATCAATGCCTCTATTCAGAAATCACAGGAGCTCAACGCAGGAATAAAAAGTGATCTTTATTCCCAAGTGTCAACTCTAATTGATTGGCAGTGGCTTTTTGGAGAACTGGACTGCACTGAAAAGGACTTGAAGGGGTTTGGAGTAGGGAAATATGCCATTAACTGGTTAGTGATGTTTGCCAGAAGGACTAGGTTATGGAGTTTATTAGGGCAGGACTGGCTTATGCCTGTTGTATTTCCTGGTCTGTTCCAATACCTAGAATGGTGCCCAGCACATGGCACATAAATATTTGTGAAAGGAATGAGCATTGGAGGAGAGGAAATGATGCTATGAAAGCTAAGCGTTTGCCATCCCTGGTAGAGATCAGGGAAGAATGAGAAATCCTAGGAAGCCCTGCAGAATAGTCTTTTTAGGTGTTGGGTCTACTTCTTATCTCCAGCAAGTTGCTCCTAGATCCCTACCTTGTCCTTCCAAGCCAAGGGAGGAGCAGCAGCTGGAGGTGATATTACAAAGTGCCTTAAGGTACTCCTCACGTAAATCTGGTGCTTTGAATATTGATGCTGCAATTGTTTTGCTACTCCTTGCTTGCAAGCTCCCTGGTTCCTTGTTCTCTCTTTGCATTTTGGATTCCTCCAATCTCTCTGGCTCTTTAATATGACACTCCCTTTACTCTTACCTGATTACCCTGTTCCAGCCCACAGTGAGGCCTGACCACACTACTAGAAATAATAACAGCCATTTATTTAACAAATGTTTACTATGATCCAGGCGTTATACTTTATATATCATATGTCATTTAATCCTCACAAGTGCCTAACGGGATAATGACTTATTATTTGCTGATGAAGAAGCTGAAGCACTCAGACACCAACTTGCTTAAGGCCACACAGTGAGTAAATGGCAAAATTCAGGGCTTTCTGACTTCAGAGCCCATATGCTTGACCATTATATGATACTGTTTATGAGCTCACACTGAGCTGTTTGGTCTTGATCCATGGCTAGACTCTGATCTCTGAGAAAGTTATGAATGACCCTCCAAACCATGATACAGTCCCCCTTGTGCTGGTAAGTAATGCATCTACTCAGAGCTGACACATCTCCTTTTGTCGGCATGCGGAAGCCACTCTGGACAGCTCACAAACTGTAACCCCCCCTAGATTCTGTGCCTGTGCTAGAAATGCATCTGCTCAAACAACAGGCATCCCTGGCTTCCCAGCCCTCCTAAGCAGAAATTCAGTACTTAACAGCCTCTTCTAATCATACAGTGTGTCCAAGGACATCCTAAGTCATTATTATTGTGCTTTCCAGCAAATCTAATTAAATTCTTGTCTAATTGTTGCCTGTCAGTGCTTCAGTGTTCTCCTTCAGGAAGCCAATCAAGGGACTTTTGCACAATCACCTTTGGAAGTGAATTTCAGTTCTTACCAACTTTGGTAGCAAATTCCTCCTTATATCTAGTTCAGATTACTCTGGACTTTTAGGGCCAATTTTTCCTCATGTTACTTTGCTACAAAAAGGAATGCTACTGATCTTCACCTCCTTTTCATCCTTTATGGAGATAAAGATCTCAGCTTGCTTTCCTTTGCCAAATTTTTAAAATAAGAAATCTTTTTTTTTTTGCTTAATCTTTTATTTTAGAGTTGTGTATTGATTTTCTATGACTGCCATAACAAATTATTACAAACTCAGTGGCTCAAAATTTAGGTCAGGCATGGTTTCTTATGCCTGTAATACTAGTACTTTGGGAGGCTAAGGTGGGAGGATGGCTTGAGCCCAGGAGTTCGAGGCCAGTTTGGGTATTAAAGTGAGACCCTATCTCTTAAAAAAAAAATAGCCAGGCACAGGGGTATAGCTTCAGCTACTTGGTAGGCTGAGGTGGGAGGATCGCTTGAGCCCAAGAGTTTGAGGTTGCAGAGAGCTATGATCGCATCACTGCACTCCAGCCTAGGTGACAAAGCGAGACCATTTCAATTGGGGTTTGAGGTGATGATTCGAAATCTACTCCTGAAATAATGAAAGGTTGCATTTTATAAAATGTTCTCATTTTCAAGGTATTTCCAGTTTTCCCTACCTATGGTAGCAAAATATAGTGCTTAAGAAGCTTGGGTTTTTAACCCAGTTGGACCTGGTTTCAAATGGTGTTTCCACTACAAACTTACTGTGTAACTTAGGGCAAGTGGATTAGCTCCACTGAGACTCAGTTTCCTAATCTATAAAATGGTATTGATAATAACACTTGCCTACATTGATAAGGCATGTTTTGGTTTTGCACAAAACCAAAAAATTGAAATCAAATTATTTGAGCAATAAAGTCCAGGAGCCATAGTAGCGTAAGGCAGTGCTTGGTCTGGGATCTTGAGCCCGTTTTCTCATTCTTTACTTCTGTGCTCTGTGTCCTCATTAATGGCTCTCAACTTGGAAGGATATCTTCTGATGTGCCCAAAGTGTCTGCTGGCACATAATGGGGCCATGTGCTCCATGTTCAAGCTCTGCAGGAATGAAAGAGATGATCTCAACATTCATGGTGAATTACTGAGGTTTCTTCTGACTGTACTGCTGAGGTCTTGTCGGCCCAATCAGAGAACCAACCAGTCACTGTGGTGAGGAACAGAGGGTGTGTAAACTGATTAAGCCAATCAAGATCCACCCCTGGAACTGGGGTTGAGGTCATTGCCACAAAACCACATGAGGGCAAATGGCAATGAGGGGTTGCTTTTCATAGGGAAATTTAGAGCATTATCAGGAGAGAGGGGGAATGGATGCTGGGTAGCAAATAGCAGCAGGTGTGTCCAGTTGGCTCCTTCTCATGAGATAATGAATATAAAGTATTTATTACAATCCTTGGCATGTAAGAAATGCCCAGTAAATATTAGCTTATTTACTTATTATTTTTCTACCTCTTAAGTGCGTGTGTACTCTTAGAGTTGTGTTTTGGTTTTCTATGACTTCCATAACAAATGACTACAAACACACACTATATATGTGTGTGTGTGTGTGTGTGTATACACATACACTTAAGAGGTAGAAAAATAATAAGTAAATAAGCTAATTTTCTTCTACCTAAGTGTGTGTAGAAATAAATACAATAAATAAATTATTAAATAAAATAAGCTAATATTAGTGTTTTACCTCTTAAGTGTGTGTGCACACACACACACACACACATATATACATATACACACACCTAAGAAGTAGAAAATACACATTCCCACAAATGATATGTGTACATGTAGAAAAAGTAGAAAGTACAGATAAATAGAGCAAGCACCTTTTATTGCTTTTATTGACAGCATTCCTCTTGTGGGAAGAGGGCTCAGGACAGCCTTTTTGCTGATAGGAAACTGAGACCCTTAGTGGAAAGAAGACTTGCCAAAGTTCACTTAGTGGAAGGATGGAAGCCAGACCCTAGGCCCCTTGGCCCCCAGCCCAGCTGTCTTTTTCTCTTGATTGCCTTGCTTTCATTAGCTGTGCTGCCTTTTCCAGGTGCCTTTCTGGAGCTGGACTTGGCAGCTAAACTGACAATGATGTATGTCCCTAGGAGTCCCCAGGAAGGGGACTTTGGAGCCACTATAAACACGCGGGGTAAGGACAGCAGCTACATCTGGAAGCCTGCAGAAGCTTCCATTCCAGGAAGTGCTGTCTGCTACGCTGTCCCTGTGTGTACCCCTTTTGCTGTCATAGTCTGCTTCAAACCTGTCAAAACATGAAAAACTGCCTATTAGGAGGCCGCTTCCAGCTGTTCTGTTCTATGCTCACTTTATAGCAATTTCCTCCCACTTTCTCCAAATGTTTCCATTAGGGAGGGAAGGGTCCCCAATGTAAGATTGCTCCCTGATGTTAGCAGGACACAAAATAGCCAAATGTATGTCAGAAAGCTGAAATCAGTTATTGCTGACAACAGTAATAGTGGTGTCTGGAATATGACCTAGTTTATTGCTCAGCACCTGGTCTTAGTTGATAAATTTTTTTTGAGAGACCAACTGGTCATGTAGGCATCCAAAGCAAAAAACAGCAGTGTGGTTATGGTAGGTACAAGTTGAGAGAGAGATAGAGAGAGAGAGAGAGAGGGAGAAGGTGACAGGAGAGAGCACAGATATGCTGATTTATTACCGGTAACAATTGCTACCATTCATTAAGTGTCAGGCACTGGGATATGTGTTTTAAACACATGTTCTTGAACCTTTACAACAACCATACAAAATAAATATCTTTATCCCCGTTCCAGTGATTAGAAAACTAGGGCCCAGAGAGGCTAAGCAACTCACCCAAGGTCACACAGCTACTAAATGAAGAAGCCCAATTCGGACCCAATTCTGTCTGATTCTAGAGCTCTTTATACATTATGCTACTTCTTGTTTATCATATTCAGCTGGTGTCTTCTGGGTCACTTTCCCATGAAAGTACTACTAAAATGATTTCACACACACACTAACCAGTCATAGGCCTTGCTTCTCATTGGGATTAGTTTTGAGTAATGGAGGGTTCCTGTAATGGGAGTCTGGAGATGCTGAGGGGAAGGGCACGCATGCATGCTTGTGTGTGAATATTAATTGTGTCTTTCGTAGTTGCAGCCTAGATCTGTAAAAATGTTTTATTAACTGTGGTCCTATGTCTCTGCTGGCAACCCACCGTAATCCCGAGGCAACAGGCTAGAAAGTGACGAATGAGAATAATTTCTTGATCGATGGGGCTGTTCTTTGTGGATTTAAAAGGACCTTGTTAAAATGACAGAGGCTCATTTTCACACTGTATCTTCAATGTCTAGATAGAAAAACCCTAAAAAAATGAAACGTTCAAGATCCTTGGAGGATGGCCTCTAGAGCCAGTTTCTTTTCTGCCCCAGCACTCTAAGCCAGGCTGAGCCAGCAAAGCTCAAATCCTCAGCTGCTCACAAAATCCACTGGTGCCCGATGTAGTTCTGGACAGTTGTTCTGAAATGCCTCACCTGCCCTTTCCTTTTGCTGTCACGCATTGCTTGCAAATGTCTCCATCTCTGCTAAATAACCGTTTAGTGTTTAAACTCCTGGCATGTGCCTAGCATTGTCTCTCTCTCCTTTTGCTAATAGCTGCACTCAGTGTTGGGCCCTCTAGGGAAGTGGACAATGTAGCAATGTGCATGGAAGTTAAGACCCATCTTTGAAATTAATTTGAGGCACTGATCAAGACTTTATGCCTTAACATTTGTTTTTCTTTTCATCAGGCATCATGCCCAAATTTTTATTCTTAGCCATTTATTTATTTTAACTTTGAACAGCTTTAATATTTGGAGAAACTTACAATATTTACATAATCCTGAGAGGGCTGACACCTAAGAGACTCAGCCATGATGCTTTTGAGAACTCCCTAAGCACACAGCTTCTTGGGAATTGGATTTATTTTATCTTATTTTTTTATTTATTTTATTTTATTATTATTATACTTTAAGTTTTAGGGTACATGGGCACAATGTGCAGGTTAGTTACATACGTATACATGTGCCATGCTGGTGTGCTGCACCCATTAACTCATCACTTACATTAGGTATATCTCCTAATGCTATCCCTCCCCCCTCCCCCCACCCCACACCAGACCCCAGAGTGTGATGTTCCCCTTCCTGTGTCCATGTGTTCTCATTGTTCAATTCCCACCTATGAGTGAGAACATGCGGTGTTTGGTTTTTTGTCCTTGCAATAGTTTACTGAGAATGATGATCAGGTGTCTGGGACTGGGAAAAGGCACAAACAGGCATCAGGAGAGGAAGTAGAGGAAAAAGACAACAAAAGAGACAAATATCCATTTCTCAATTTTGCAGCGAGGTAACCCTTTCCCCAGCCAACAGTTAGAGGAAAGTTCCTGACCTAAGGATCCTGTGACACAGACCCTGAGCGACTATATGGCAAATGCTGCTTTTGACAGGCAAGGCCAATGCTTCTTCACAAAGAGGTTGCACAGTTCCATCCCTGTCAGAGTAGCATCTGGAAAATGCCAACGACAGCATCCTATATATCCTCTTCCTTCTAGCTGGATGGATCCCAGAGCTAGGTGCTCACACAGGCTGGACTAGCAACTTGGTGCAACGGGAAGGAAATAATCTTTTTGACGGAGTATGAGAGGATCAAATGAAGTGAAGGATGAGACACGTTGCTGAGTCCAGGTAGAGTGGGCTCCTTTGTGAGTAACTAAGGCTCCTTGCTGCCACAAGAAGTCAGACTCTGGGCAGCCCTCCAAACCCTGGTAAGGACTTTGATCTTTATCCTAAGGAAAACAGGAAGCCATGTAAGTGTTTGGATTAGAAGATTTTGGGGAGAGTGACATACATTCAAATCCACTCAGAATATCTTACAGGGATGGTGAGGCCTCAGTGCTGCCCGCGTTTTCTATACCCCATTGGTTAGTTTTGGTTGATGCGGGTATTTGTTCTGATAGAAAAGAAGAACAGATGCAGTTTTTAGGAGGCAGGAATCAGAGACAGAGAAGTAATGCTTTATATCAGTGCTTCCCAACACTTTTAACATCATTTAACATAGCACACATAATGATGATTACAATCCTATAGCATATTGGGGAAATGAAGAAGATTGCTCAGAGCCTAAGTAAGGGGCTCAACATCTGGGACACCTGGAAGCCCTTTGTAGCACAAAAGATGCCCTGATACTCTGGTTTAGAGGGCAGCAGGTAGATTTTAACCCTTTCACTGCTGCTCCCTTCTTTGGACTGCACCTCTCTTACCTGCCTTCATGGTCTCAATCCATCTCTCCACAGTCTCCTTGCTGCCTCCACGAGTGTGTCCATTCTAAACACAACGTGCTGCTTTTGATTTGCCAAGTGTCTGATGGGCTGTTGACGGAAGAGACAGGCTGAAGCCAGCCTTTCATCAATGTTGGTTGTAGAAGCTGAATTATGTCTCTGCCACATCTTTGACACCTCTCTGTTCTGCAACTCCTATTGGTGGGGAATTCCCTGTTTATGAGAGACCCATGGTTCAGCCATCTTTCAATTAAACTTATTAAGAAAACAGGCCTTTGCGTTCCACTTGAGGGAAAGGGCATCTGAATCTGGAGAGGCATTCGAGGCACGAGGAAACAGTTGGTTTGAATAAGGTCACAGATTAATTAGAATTGGGCTTCATTAAAGCTGCATGAGCACCTGGACAACTTTGCCAAGACAGGGGATCATCTGGGTATCTTTGAACAGTCCCTTTCTCTTCTGGGCACTTGTTCTCTGGTTTGGGCCTTGATTCCAGCTGCTGTGAGAGACTCCTGTGCCTGAACGTGTTTCCAAGTCAATTATGCAGGCTTCTCTGAGGCTGCTTAGTTTGGTTAGAGCGCTATTCTAATGAAGTCAAGGTCTGAAGTTTGCTCTCTGCATGGGCTTTAGTTTCAGTCTGCTCTGCAACCCTGATTACCTGTTTCCTAATATGAGGAGAGAACACACTGCTTAGGGAAGGAGTGGGTATAGGAATTGGGAGCATCTTGTTCCAGCCTTCTCACATTTCTTCCTGTTGAGGCAGGCATGGATCCAGGTACCACTTAAATTACAGAGGTGTTCAGCTAGTGCATCCCTGCAGGGTCCTGGGGGCTAGAACCTTGTGAATGAATTTGACTCTGATGAGAGCGCCAACAAGGCATGCCATGAAGTGGCCAAGCTCTTCTTTCTCTTCATCAAATCCCCTTTTCCACCTGCCTCCACTTGGAAAGTTAGTTGATAAACTAATTTATACTAATCTGCAATAACCAATAGTAACTAAACATGTGCCCTGTATTGATGAGTCAATGCATTGTTTCTAAATCAGTGATTTTCAAACCATTATGGAAGTGTGTTTAGGGTTGTGTGGGAGACTGACCATCCCAGTGTACGTGGAACTGGTGTTTTCCAGAGTATAGAACACACAGTGCTAAATCCTGGAAAGCCCTGGGCAAACCAGCATGAGGTGGTTAATCTAGGGATTTTAGGAGGGATGACTCTGCGTGTGTGTGTGTGTGTGTGTGTGTGTGTGTGTGTGGCAGGGTGAATAAGGTGAGGATGGCAGTACCCAGTGGTGGCTGAGAATGGGGTGCCTGCCTCTACTTCAGCCACAGAGGCAACATGTTTTATATATTTTATATTTTAAAGTTGGATGAAATTTTCATTGAAAAGCATTGGCAAAGCTGTTCTCTCAAAGAATTAAAGTCAAAAGGAATCTATCAGGAACCAGAGCAAGGGAGATGTCCAGGTGTAGAGAATTCCTGAAGTCCGCTTTTCACCAAGAAGACACCTGCTACTCTGCCAACATGAAAAGCAGGGTTTAGCTGTTGTCACAGCAGAGAAAGGAGGGCTTATCCTTGTATGGAGACTAAGAGGGAAGGGACTGTTTTGAGAGCACAATAATATTTGACATTATAATTTGTGCTTTTCCCTGTATTTTCTTCTTTCATTTCCTCATTGAAGCAAGAGTCCAGGCACTAAGTTTCCTTCCCTCAGGAGAGTTTGCATCAAGGTGCAAGGTGGAAGCAGAGGTTGCCTACAAAACACTTTTCTTCCTGGCTTAGGGAAGTGTCATCTAATCAGAGCTCAATGGTAGGAAGTAGAGGGAAGGAAGTAGGGGATGAAAGACTGAAGTTGTTATAACAGCAAGAGCCTAAAGAGATGGCAGGACCTCAGAAGACTAAGAGGGAAGGGACTGTTTTGAGAGCACAATAATATTTGACATTATAATTTGTGCTTTTCCCTGTATTTTCTTCTTTCATTTCCTCATTGAAGCAAGAGTCCAGGCACTAAGTTTCCTTCCCTCAGGAGAGTTTGCATCAAGGTGGAAGCAGAGGTTGCCTACAAAACACTTTTCTTCCTGGCTTAGGGAAGTGTCATCTAATCAGAGCTCAATGGTAGGAAGTAGAGGGAAGGAAGTAGGGGATGAAAGACTGAAGTTGTTATAACAGCAAGAGCCTAAAGAGATGGCAGGACCTCAGAAGACAATAGTATTTGTGCACATGGGAATTTGTCCAAATCACATTTCTATTATCTATCTATCTGTCTGTCTGTCTGTCTATCTATCTATCTATCATCTGTTGGTCTGTCTGTCTTCTATCTATCTAATCATATATCTAATCTATTGCTATCTCAAATGTAGTATGAAAGAATGAACTTGCCTTCCTCTGGAGGCTACTGGGACATCTGGCTGTTTTACTCATTCACTACAAAAGCCCAGTCTCCCAGGTCACCCATTGTTTTCATGGCCCTTAATGACTATGTAGTTCTGAGCTAGCCTGCATACTTCCATGCCTTTTCAAACCTTTCCTTCTATTATGCTTTTGAAACTCTCAGGTTACCATGAGCTAATGCTCCTATAATCCTCAACATTTTTGAGTGTTGTATTTTTACTCTAAAGGAAACAAGCTGTCCCCTGATGATATCACTGGCTCTGCAGACTTCTTATGTGATGCTTACATCTCCCATAAATCAGAGCCTGGAAGTAGAGAAAGAATGTGTCTTTCATATTTCCATTTGCAGTTTCCAAACTATTTCTTCTCTATTCTTAAAAAAACCCAAACCCTCCTTCCAGTCTTAAAATAGTAGAATAAGGAAGTGTTTCTGCTATTTACTTTAAGATTTAAGTAAAAAGAAGAAAAAAATAGAAAATGCAAGTTCCATCTTAAAAGAACATTAGGAGACATATGTAACTTGGAACCATAATATTTGAGGAAGGGATGTCAAAAACAATAAAAGTCAAATCATGGTTCTGCTATCAAGAGAATGTGTCAATGGCTGCTGATCTCAGACAAGACTTACAGAACACTTCTTCAAAGTTCGGAACATACCCTTAGGGGTGAAGCTTTGTTGTTTTAGCTGGAATTAAGTTCAAATGCATCTAACAGAACATCTAAAATAACAGAAGTTTGTCAGAAGACTAGAGATCTGTAGTCCATAGATGATTAGTGGCTCCACTGTTATCAAGAGATCAAGTTTTTTGCTTTTTGGCCTCATTGTTTCTTCTCTTTGGCTCCACCAAGAGATCAGATTTTCTGCTTTTTGGCCTCACCATTCTGGTGTGTGGCTTCCATCTTTAGAGTAACCTCCTCATCTAAGGGTTTGCTGGAGCATCAACCATCAAATCCATATTCTAGGCAGTAGAATGGGAAACAAGATCTTTCTCTGGCTTTCTGTCCTCTTTTAATAGAGATGTTCCAGAATTCCCCCACAATGTTATCCACAAAGAACCTTACTACATGGTCACAAAGAGCTGCAAAATAGTACAAGAAAAGCAATTTTTGAAGCTATTTGTATTGCTACATCCAATAATATAACAGTTCTGATAGAAGAAGAAAAGATAATGAATGTTAGTGGCAATTAGTGATCTTGGTCTTCTTCTTGTTTGGAACAGGGGGAATATGTGAGGACTAGTTACAGAAACTTTGTTAGGCCTCACTGGTAAAGAGGATGGCAGGCAGGCTTGAATGAGAAATTACACATATTGTCAGGAAGCAAACTGCAGATGAGGCAGGGTGGAAGAGAGAATCTATATTGTGAAAAGACCAGATGGCTACTGGTTACTGTTGACTGTCAGGAAGAAAAGTATAAAAAATTTAATTCGACTTACAGTTTTATGCAAAAAAGAGAACTCTTTCTAGTTTGACACGTGGTTCTTGATGCACACCCTAGGTATTTCCTACAAATATTTAGTTTAAAGACTCACCTCACTCAAGAATAACAGTGAAAATGGAATGACCACAGGATTTGTACAAAGATGCTAGAAGAAAAAATGGAAAAACGGGAATTAAAAAAAAATCCAGTGGCAGCTAAAGAATACTCATCAGAAAGATGTTGCCATGGAGAAATAAAAATTATGATTAAACGTATTACCTGTAGTGAAAAATAACATAATAAAGTAATTGCCACTGGAAAACAAAAATCAAAAGGTGAAATATCAGAAGGAGGAACTGCAGGAGCAGTCAGAGCTCAGAGCACACTTGGGGAAGAAAAATTAGTTCAACAAAGGAATGAACGCAAAACTGAAAATGATAGACATGGTTGAAAATAAGATAAGGGCAAGCAAAATGTAAATTCACTTGAGCATTTTTAAAAAGACCAGAACAAAAATAACATACCAAAGACAGACACAGGAAGTCCAAAATACCCATAATTGGTGTTAATGACGAAGGTAACCTAAATAAGAAAACGGAATCAATATATACAGATATGATTTAAGAAAGTTTTCAGAAATAAAAGAAAATTGCATCTATAGATAGAAAGGTCATATTATATCCCAGGAAAAATTGCCTTGTTAAGTAAAAAGAAAGCAAGGCATGGATTAGTATGAATGATAGATAGGCTATAATAAATACAAAATATTTATTTTTGCATGTATTAAATATCTCTGAAATAATCTCCAAAAACTGGCTACAGTGCTTGCCTCTAGGGAGGAGTATTTTTTTTCTTAATTGAGACTGCTACTTGCTTACCAAATATCCATTCTCTTGAACATCAAAATACAGAATTCTCACTTTGCTGTGTGATATCACCATCCTGATATTTACCACGTCTCTTCTAGCTTAAGTCAGTGGTTCCCAACTAGCAGATATCCCTCCCTTACCCTTTGGCACATCTGGCAATGTCTGGACATAGTTTAAGGTGTCACAACTAGTGGTGGGGTGTTTTGTTCTACTGGCGTTGGAAGGGATGCTAGCAGGGATTATGCTAAACATCCTATGGTTCAAAGGCCAGCTCATCACAGCATAGAATTATCCCATCTAAAATGTCCATAATGCTAACATTGAGAAACCCTGGCTTATGTTTGGATGTAAACAGATATAATGTGTGGAACTTTTGGGAATCTCTTTAGAAAAAAGAGGGCATGCCTTCTTCCTACTTCTTCAATCCTGCTGCTTAGGAAGTGGGTGTAATGTCTAGGTTTGAGCAGCCATTTTGGACCCTGAGGACAAGGGTCTTACCTGAAGGATGGTGCAGTAGGGAGCTGGAAGAGCCTAGGTCTTTGATGTATTACTTTCTTCTTTGCTTTATTCACTAATTTACCAAATATTTATTGCATATGACATATGGCATAGGCCTTTGCAGGCAATTGTAGGACTTTGGCTTTTACTCTTTGTGAGATGGGAAACCAGTGGAAAATTTTAAGCAGAAGAGAGACACAATCTGACTTAGCATTTTATAGGATCTCTCTGGCTGCTGGCAGGAACTAAATTGGGGGCTGAGGAAAAAAGGAAAAAGGAAGCACATGGACAGAATTACTGCAAAAAGTCTTACAATCAATGATGGTGGCTTAGACTGAGGTAATAACATGAAGGTGGTGAGAAGTTGTCTTATTCTGGATATATTTAGCAGGTTGGCCAGACAGGATTGATTTGTTAATGGATTAGATGTATAATCTAAAAGAGAAAGGAGTCAATGATTACTCTAAGGTTTTTTGTCTAGAGTGAAGGAAGGATGGGATTGCCAGGTATTGAGATGCGAAGACACAATAGAACCAATTTGGTTTTGGATAAGTTATATTAGAGATGCTCATTAGAAATATCAACTAGGCAATTGACTTATGAGTTGAACTATATGAAGTCACTCACTTTTGACCTATGAAAATAGCAATTTTGGATAGTTCAACCTATATAAGTCTGAAGTGTAGGAGAGAGTTCTGAGCTGGGTTTATAAATTTTGGAGTCATTGGCATTTAGATGTCCCTTGAAACCAGGACACTGGATGATGTCATCAAGGGCAGGCATGTAGATAGGCCTTGCTAAACCAAAGCAGCATGTTAATAGAATTGGCATCTCTACCAGACTGGGAAAACATTTTCCTGTGTTTCCTCAAACCCTGAGAGAGAATGATGAAACAACCCGGAGAGAATGAAACCCTGAGAGAGAATGATGACCAACATTGAACTTGTTTCAATTCATTTGTTTTCTGAGCATTTGCAAACATTTCTCTCTTTTTGTTTGATATGGTTTGGACCTGTGTCCCCACCCAAATCTCATGTTCAATAGTAATCCCCAGTGTTGGAGGTGGGGCATTGTGGGAGATGTTTGGATCATGGGAGCACATTTCTCATGAATGGTTTAGCACCATCCTCATTTGTACTGTCCTCACAATAGTGAGTGAGTTCTCATGAGATCTGGTCATTTAAAAGTGTGTAGCTCCTCCTCTCTCTCTCTCTCTCTCTCTCTCTCGATCCTGCTCTGGCCATGTGACATGCCTGTTCACCCTTCACCTTCCACTGTGATTGTAAGTTTCCTGAGGACTCCTCGGAAGCTGAGTGGATGCCAGCATCATGCTTCCTGTACAGCCTGCAGAACCATCATCCAATTAAACCAGTCTCAGGTATTTATTTACAGCAGTGTGAGAATGGACTAATACAGGGATCCCCACCTCAGGGCCATGGACAGGTACTAGCCTGTGGCATGTTAGGAACCAGGTCACACAGCATGAGGTGAGTGGCAGGTGAGTGAGTAAAGCTGAGCTCCGTCTCCATCAGATTAGCAGTGGCATTAGCTTCTCATAGGAGACTGAATGCTCTTGTGAACTGTGCATGCAAAGGATCTAAGTCGCATGCTTTTTTTGAGAATCTAATAATAAATGTAATGAGCTTGAATAATCCGGAAACCCGTCCTTTAACCTGTCCATGGAAAAATTGTCTTCCATGAAACCAGTCTCTGGTGCCAAAAAGGTTGGGGATCACTGGACTAATACAGTGTTCCTTCCCTCTTTTATCTACAGCATCACAACCTCTTTAAGGTTTTGATATCTTTCCATGTATATGTATAAGCATAACATATACATGGAAAAGTGTAAAGATCTTAAATGAATTTATGGTGAATTTTCACCAAAGTGAACATATGTGTCCGTAGCATTCATATCAAAAGCACATTTTTTCACTAGCATTTCGAAAACTTCCGTTATGCACCCCCTCATTCATCACTGTCCCTGCAAACATAATTGCCATCCTAACAATTAACACCATAATAGTTTTCCTTTGTATAAATTCTGCTATTTATGGATATTTCAGGGCATTTCTAGTTTTGGCAGTTATGAATAATGCTTTTATAATTATTCTTGTCAATGTCTTTGGATGAATATATTCATTTTTGTTGGCTATCTACCTAGGGGTGGAATTTCTACATCAGAGGATATGCATGTGTTCGGATTTGGTAGACAAAGTCAGTTTTCTCAAGGTAGTTGTATCAACGTATCTTTTAGCTAGCCATGTATGAGAGTTCTGAATACTCAACAACCTCACCAACACTTGGCGTATTCTGTGTTTTCCATTTTGGTTTTGGTATGCTTTTTTAATGACTTATAAAATTGAGCATTCCTTCATATGTATATTGGCCATTTTGATATCCTCTTTTGGGAAGTGCCTGTTCAATTATTTTGCCCATTTTTCTATTGGACTATCTGTCTCTTTCCTTATATATTCTGGATATGAGTCTTTTGTAAGATATATACATCTCGAATTTTTTCCCTACTCTGTCTTTTTATGAGAAAACTTCTTAATAGCATCCAGTTTATTAATTGTTTTTTATATTTAGTGTGTTTTTGTCCTATTTAAGACACATTTTCTTACCTCAAGTTTGTGAGATATTGTCTTTTGTTTTATTTTGAAAAACATATAATTTTACCTTTCATGTCATCACCTGCAACCTATCTGCAATTAACTTTTATGTACGGTGTGAGCTATAATTCAAGCTTCATGATTTTTTCTTTATGGATACTCGATTGATCCAGCATCATTTATTGAAAATACCACTCTTTCCCTATGGCACTGTGATGTCATCTTTGCCAAAAATTGTGTGAGTGTAGATATGGAATCTATTTCTATATTGTTTCATTGTTCTATTTTTTCTATCCTTGCACATGTATTACACTGTTAATGATTATAGTCTTAGAATGTCTTGGTATGATGTCTCAATGTCTTGTAGTATAAAGTCTTCCAGTTTTGTTCTTCTTTTTCATCATTCTAATGGCAATTCTTGGCCCTTTTTCAAGTAAATTAAAAAAATTAGATTGTACTTAAAAAAAGCTTCTGGGATTTAGATTTTGATATACATTGTATTGAATCTACAGATTGATTTGTGGATAAATTGCCATATTTACATTTTTGAGTCATGCAATTCATGAGACTGGTATATTCTTCAGTTTATTTAGGTTTTATTATTTTTTTTCAATATTTGGTAGTTTTCTTTGTAAAAGTCTTACATATATTTTGTTACATATTGTTTTTGGCATTTGATTCCTTTTATACTATTATAAAGTGTCTATTTGAGAATTTTAAACTCCTTGGCTTAATCTCTAGTACAGATTCTAAAATCTCAGACGGTAGGGATCTATTCATTCTTTTTTTTTTGATAGTGGCAGGAAGAAAAGGTGAGGGAGGGGGGAGAGAGAGAGAGAGAGAGGAGAAACAGAAAGCAATTTACCCAGCAGGATAAAATCTACAGTCATTTGGAAAATGGACTGAAATAATGCAGGCTCATGTGAAGGCACTTGAAACATCTCCATGGTGACCAGGCTGCAAAGTTCCACCCAATGGGTGTCTGTGATATTGCCATTGTGTCATTTAATATGGAGCTAGTTAGTTCTGCTAAGAGGGACAATGCAACTTCTCAGAACAACCTTCTAAGTGATAACCAGCTTTGAATGGTTTTTTTGGTTGTTGTTTGAGTTTTACTGCTTTTGGTTTCCCTTTCTGTTTGAGTTTTCCCACAAAACTCCCCATGATCAGGCTTTCTCCCTGTTGGTAAAATCATTCCAGCTTCAGAGGCAAATGCTTTTAACCCTCAGCAGAAGCCAGGGCCCTTCTCTGCTTCACACTGAAAACCTTTAAGAAGCAGTAAGGTTTCATAGTTTCTTCTCATTGTCTTCTTCACCCAGTTAATTATTCTTAATCTGTCAGGTAAAAATGGCAATATATATACTAGTCTGATTCTTTGAATACAAACATAACCTCAAACTTTAGAATTTGTGCCTTATTGTTCCTTGGCCAGATTCCCTGTGCAATGTTGCACAACAGGGAAAAATCAAGATGGATAATACAGTTTCCTAAAGGACCGGAGAAAAGAAGATGCTATTAATATTTAGGTGGTGATACAATAGATAGTTTCTCATGATGCTGAATAAGTTCTTGCTTTTGCTCATGAGTGTGGTAGATATATTAATTTTTGACTCCCAGCATCTAATCACCCTTTTCCTTAAACATCCTTCTCTGTTTCTCTTCTAGGAAACCACTTGACCCTCACTCTTAATCTATTTGCTTTGAATGCAGTTCACTGCAACCCTGGCTCCATAGGTAGGCATTTAACTGGCTTGGCTGACCAGAGATCTATATTCTCTTCACAGTGATTCCTTGAGGGATGGGTGTCAGTCCATTTTTCGCTGCTATAACAAAATACCTGAGACTAAGTAATTTACAGTGAACAGAAATTTATTTGGTGCATAGTTCTGGAGGCTGGAAAGTCCAATATCAAGGTGCTGACATCTTTCGAGGGCCTTCTTACTGCATCATCCCATGGAGGAAGGTGAGAAAGTGAGAGAAGGTGCGAGAATGCAGGAGAGACTGAACTCATCCTTTCATAAGGAATCCATTCCTTCAATAAAAATCTCACTTCTGTAATAACAAACCCACTCCTGCAATAATGACATTAATTCATTGATGAGGACAAAGCCCTCATGGCCCAACCACCTCTAACTAGGTCCCACTTCCTAACACTGTTGCCCCAGGGATTCAGTTTCCAACACATAACTTTGGAGGGCCCATTCAAACTGTAGTATTGGGCATGTTGCCCTGTCAGAGACTGTGGGACACAGTGAGGCATTTCTGGGAGTAGTGGTAGAGAAGCACATTCTCCTTTGTGTTAAACTTAAGACTCAGAAGTTTTATTCTGGAAATGAAGGCAGCTGCCATGTCATCAAGTAGAACCTTAGAATGAAGCCCATGTGTAGGAGGGCAGATGAAGAAATACCAGTAACTGATGTCCTTCTTTGAGCCCTTGAAGTTGAGATACCTCTAGACTTTTACACTTTGTGAACAAATGCATTTTTTTAGCTTAAATCAGTTCAGGGTTTATTTTGTGTCTGTTTATGTATGTTTATGTGTGACTATATTTACAATAAAAATGATTCTAACCTGTATAATGGCAGTGGATGAAAAGAGACTTAGTTGTAAAACAACTTTGTGTAGGATTCCTTTGCATGAGAAAAGGAGCTAAATTAATTATTGACCATATCATTTGGGGATGTTAAGGTTGCTAAAAATGTAACACAATGATTTTCAATTCAAATGTACCTGCAGTTTTAAAAAACAATGCCCAACCCCATTGCCCATTGCCATGTTAAGGCCCGAAGTTACATATAGGCCAGAAGTTACATATAGGCCCTTGTGCTGGTAGAAAAATATGCATAAAAATTTTCCACTCCATGCAGCAAGAAGGTGTGACAAAAGGAAATAGATTCTTGTTCTATTTTCCAATGTAATTGAATGTGATCTTGGACAGTTCTCTTTATCAAGGTAGGTCTCAATTTCCTTGTCAGAAAAATGAGGCTAATAATACCTGCCCTTTCTTTAGGTTATTGTGAAACACAAATGAGATGAATATAAAAATGTTTCAAGTAAGAATGTATTCAAATTTAATGTGTCATCATCATTATTATTTTTCATAAAAGAAAGATTCAAGAATGACTTTAAACATGTTGATGTTTCAAAGTCTCAGAAAAAAAAAGTAAAACCCGTGTATATAAAACTATTGAAGTGTTTACCTATATTTCTAATCCAGGTGTATGTTACCAAAGGAGATGTAAGTCATCAGGTTATGCAAACAAAATACAGTGGTTTTACAATCTTTTAGACACATTAAGGGCAGATTTCTCATCAAATTAATGGCCCACTTGAATAAGAAATTAAGTAACCAATAATATATTTTAGTAGGTCTTGTTGCCTACCTAAAATTCATCAACTCTTTTCAAATCTCATTTTTGTTTAGATTTCCATCCCATCCTTAGCTCCAGGAGGAACCCTGATTTCTAAACAGATAAGCACATGCCATTCTCATAACGAGAGTTACTAGTCCACGGATGCAGTCACGCTTTGAGCTGGCTCAATCAGACTGGAGGGAGAAGCTTATGTTCTCTCCTACTGAATGTGGTCAGGGAAGTGTGCAGCTCTGGTTGTCACTTGGAGCCATGCTTGCTGTGACAAAGGGAAGCAGCTCTCAGAGGAAGCTGCCACTGAGGAGTGCAGAAGGGAGTAGTAGAGACAACCTAGGATTTCATGGCATCATTATCTTTCTGGGCTTCCAGTTACAGGTGTTCCTGCATTTCCTTATTATTTAAGCCAGTTTGAATCTACATTTTCTGTTACTTGCAGCCAAAGTTATTCTCAATGACCCTATATATTTTTGGAGGCTTCCTAGAAATCCCTGAGATGAAATTACTGTAAAAACTATGTATTGCAGTACTGTTTTCTCATCTTCGTTAATCTGGTTTCCATCCTCCTTTTCTTTCTTAGGAAGACTAGAAAGAAGATGTTATTGATTATTTGAACTCAACTGAGCAGAGGTCAATCCTCAGCATATTACTATGCAAATCTATTACTGCCATTTAAAAACATAATGCATGGCCGGTTGTGGTGGCTCACGCCTGTAATCCCAGCACTTTGAGAGGCTGAGGTGGGTGGATCACCTGAGGTCAGGAGTTCAAGACCAGCCTGGCCAACATGGTGAAACCCCTCTCTACTGAAAATACAAAAATTAGCCAGGCATGGTGGCAGGCGCCTGTAATCCCAGCTACTCAGGAGGCTGAGGCAGGAGAATCACTTGAATCTGGGAGCCGGAGGTTGCAGTGAGCCGAGATCGCGCCATTACACTCGAGCCTGGGGGACAAGAGTGAGACTTCGTCTCAAAAACCAAACCAAACCAAACCATAATGCGTTTTAGAAGATGTTCATTTTATCTGAGAGCTGCTTATGGGTAGTCAGGCTGGAAGCTCCAGCAAATAAAGTTGCCAGATCAAGCAATCAAGATACAGAATGCCCAGCTAAATTTGAATTTTAGATTAACAATATATATTTTAGTATAAGTATGTCCCATGCAATATTTGAGACATACTTAAACTAAAAGTTATTTATTGTTTATCTAAAATTCATAATTCTGCAGCTAAATCAATAACTGAAGTACTTTCAAATTTATGTATGCCAATTGTGAAAACAAAATTATAGATTAAAAGTGGTACAACTTGTTCTTCTCGACCTTGCACTTGAATGTTTTTCTGGCTAAATACACATCATGATTACCCATTTTAAAACAAGGTGATGCTTCAGGTCAGGAGTTCAAGACCAACCTGGCCAACACGGTGAAACCCTGTCTCTACTAAAAATACAAAAATTAACTGGGAGTGGTGGTGTGTGCCTGTAATCTCAGCTACTAGGGAGGCTGAGGCAGGAGATTCACTTGAGCCCAGGAGGTGGAGGTTGCAGTGAGCCAAGATCACATCACTGCGCTCCAGCCTGGGTGACAGAGTGAGACTCCGTCTCAAAAAAAAAAAAAGAAAAAAAAGGTGATGCTTAAGACAAATTTATAAAACTATTTTTTCATATAAGCCTTTTAGCTACTGGGTGAAAGTAATACTTTCACAGGGTCTCAGAAATCACATTACATAAACAACCTCTTACTGTTTCTTTGGGTAAAGTTGGCCCAGAACTGGGAGCAATTATTCTATTATTTCCAGACAAATGTGAGTCTGAACTAAATTGCTTGTTGCATACTGAAAGGATAACTCAGGGAATTCAAGATCAGTCAACAAGTGCAAAGGAGTGACAGAATCAAGAGTCAGGACATAGAAAGTTGGACAGAAATATTTAGGGGGTTAAGAAGGAAGGTCCTGGGTCATTGCTGAAAATCTGGCCATGCATCCAGGTATCTGCATCACCCTTTGGGTTATTCACGTAGAATGTGGATTATTCAGGTTGCCGCTCAGGGTGTGGTATCAGAAAGAAGAGAATTATACTCAGAATTCCCAATACTTGGCCCTAGTCTTTCTTAAAATAAGAGATCTTTATGTGCATCTCTTCCTCTTGTCTCAGAGTTTTGGCAGAGGCCCTAAGAGGTGAAAAAGACACACTTAGATTCCAAGTGAAATGCCATCCTAAAATGAAGTGTAAGGCCATTGATGCAGGGCATGCCAGTAAGACTGTGAATGGGTTTTGCAGCCATCTGCCTCTAGTTCACATAAGAGGCTGAGAGAGAATTATCAATAACTGTGCATTTTTCTTCCCCTCAGTTGGTGTATTAATCTGTTTTCATACTGCTGTAAAGAAGTATGAGAGTGGGTAATTTATAAAGAAAAAGAGGTTTAATGGACTCACAGTTCCACATGGCTGTGGAGGCCTCACCATCATGACAGAAGGTGAAGAAGGAGCAGAGGCACATCTTTCATGGTGGCCAGCAAGAGAGTGTGTGCAGGGGAACTGCCGTTTATAAAACCATCAGATTTTGTGAGACTTTTTCACTATCACAAGAACAGCATGGGAAAAAGCTGCCCCCATGATTCAATTACCTCCCACTGAGTCCCTTCCACAACACATGGGGATTATGGGGACTACAATTCAAGATGAGATATGGGTGGGGACACAGCCAAACCATATCACTTGCAGAGGCCAGTAGTGTTGCTTCCCATCACCTTACTCCCAATGAGAGGGGCATCAGGGGAACGTTCAGAAAGTTTGACATGTGGTTCTTGAAATGTAGGAAATGTGAGACTCCTGTTGGATACTCCCCTGGAGGAAGATCAGAGGAAAAATTCTCTGGCTACAGCTGCTGGCTTGGCTGTATTGGGGGTGATCTGCATGGGGCAAAAGTGCCTGTTTTCTGGGGGTCGGCCCGTATGTCTTTATCTCTTTGTATTTTTTAAATCTCTCTTTTTTTTTCTCTCTCTCTATTAGGCTATTCTTGCATTGCTATAAATAAATACCTGAGACTGGGTAATTTATGAAGACAAAAGGTTTAATTGGCTCAAAGTTCTGCAGGCTTTATAGGAAGCATGGTGCTGGCATCTGCTCTGCTTATAGGGAGGCCTCAGGTAGCTTAAAATCATGCCCGAAGGTGAAGGGGTAGAAGGGATGTCACCTGGCAAAACCAGGAGCAAGAGGAGAGAGTGTGTGTGGGGGGGGTGCCACATGCCTTTAAATCACCAGATGTCACGAGAACTTACTGTCATGAAGACAGCACCAAGCCATGATCCAAACACCAGGACCTACCTCCAGCACTGATGATTACAATTCAGCATGAGGTTTTATGAGGAACAAATATCCAAACTGTCTCTCTCTCTCTCTCTCTCTCTCTGTGTGTGTGTGTGTGTGTGTGTGTGTGTGTGTGTGTGTAATGAAGGCTTCCTTTCAAAAGGACGGCTTGGACAGGCAGAAAGACTGTATTGGTAGAAGTCTATGTAGAGAAGAGGCATCCTCCTCCTCAAAGCAGTGCAGAGGTTTCCAGCAGAGGGATTTCTGAAGAACCTGTCAAACTGCCCCCATGAAAGAACCAGCTCCACACCCTGAAGGAACCAACACCAAATTACAATGGTCACTGCCACAGAGACTGTGCCAACTCTACCTTTTTACCCTCATCCTTTATTCCTCTGAGCCCAAGGATGAAGAGCTTTGAGGCCATTTCTAGAATCATGCTGTGTGGGGAGGAGTAGATGGTGTGGGACACAGCTGATGGACACATCCCTGTCCCTACTGCAGGCTCCAAGACTGAGGAATGCCTCGGGAGCAGGGGAGGGAGAAATCTTACATTGCATGGGTTTTGAGTTTTGATTATTACATTGGATGAGGTATTTTGATTACTGAAGTGAGACTATTCTTGACCTGAAGGGACCAGGAAGTCATGGGCCTGCCTGACAGTCAACTGGGCTGAGGATAAAGGGATTCACAGAGTGTGCTTAACTGGGGATATGAGAAAGACTAAAGATGCATTATAATTGCACCCTATCCCATACAGCCCATTCTGCACCGTGAGTTCGTTAGTAAATGAACTAATATCCCTCTTTATAGCAATGCTCTGGGGGCTAAACATTTGCTGGAATTCCTAAGAAAAGATTTCGGTCAATCTCATCACAGTGTGTGGGTCTCTATGGGACCTTGTAATTCTTCCTATTCACTCTCTATTAATGACAAAATGTGCAATATTTATAACCCTGACTACTAGAGCTCTGAAAAGACAGAATGCTTTTTGTTTCTGAACTTGACTGTTGTAAAAAAAGCAACAATTTATGATATTCCTTATAAAGGTTTGATCAACCAGGACATATAAAGAGTGTGATCTGGGTTCAATACAGATACAATCCAATAACCCAAAATTTCTAGATTGCATTATAAATAGTAAGAATTGATGTTTACAGTAACATCCATAGGGTACCCAGGATCCTGAATCTTAGACATGAATATTTTTCAAATGTCTTTCATCTCTACCAGTATTACTCTAGTCTAGTCTAAACCACCATGAGTTTGTACTTTGATTCTAGGGTAGCCTCCTGATTGGTTTTCCTTCTAATTTTGTCTTCCTCTAAACCATTCTTGACATGGCAGCAGAGTGGTTATACACTTATTCATGTTAGATTGTGAGTGTTAACTAAGAAATTGCTTATCATAGAGTCTGGCTTATTATAGATGCTCAATAGTAAATACTCATATTACTGCAGACTCCTCTACCACTAGCTCTTTTCCCCATAATAACAAATGGCTACCCCACAGCCTATTATTTTTTCATCATTATCTTCATCATTTCCTTCTACATCATCCAAGTCTTTTTAGGACCAAATCTAAATGTGCTAATGGCTTCATGATCTTCCTCTGCTTACCTTTCAGGACTCATCTCTTGCCATTTGTCTCCTTGTATCTAACACTCCAAACAAATTGAATATTTTAGTTCTTCAGAAATTCCTTGTTCTCTTTCAATTCCATGTCTCTGCACATGCTATTTCTTCTGCATTGAGCACTCTTGGTCCATGTTCGGCTATCACTTCTCAGAAACTTTCCCTGCTCCCTAAACCCTGGGTTGAGTGACATTCCTATGTGTTCCCATGAACCCTCTACTTCTCTTGTCATAATGTATGTCCTGCTATACTGTGATTGCTCCTTTACTTGTCCATATTCCCTTTCTACCATAAACTTTGTGAATGCAAGGACTGTAAAAAAAATCTGTGTAGGTCAGTTTCACAGCTCCACAGTGGCTTATAGTGGATCCTCAATGAATGAATGAGTAAATGAATGCAAGAATGAATTTACAATATAACAAAGTAAGAGTTATTATTTATTGTGATTCAATATAGAGAAAAATCTTAACTATATTTCTGCTAGTTGAAAAAGAAAAAAAAATTGGAGAGAAAAAAACATTGAAATAAAAAGTAATTCTCTTTGGCAATCAGCTGACCAGAAGGTTCAAATATATTGAACTCCCCATGCCATCCTTGAGCATGTCTGCTAATCAGCGTTTATTGTTTTTTTTTCTCTACATGGATATGATTGAACCTCTGTTGTTACCCATCAATCCTGAGAGATTTTACCACTGAATTTGAATCTTTGCATGCCTTTTCTCCTGCCTGTCTAATACAGCTTTCTCAGTTTTCACAAGATGGATGGCATGGTAGAAGCCCTTGATATAGAATCAGGGGATTTCACATTGCATGAGACTTTCAAAAATACTTGGAAAAGTCGTTCTGCACCACAGATTCAGAGCTTGAAGGGAAATCTCTGAGCTGAGCACTTTATGTGCATTTTCACATTTCATCATAACCAATGGCTGCCTTCGGTGAAAGTCTGATATCACACTGATAAACACCTGCTGGTGTCTTGTTATGTGTCTGTAGCCTCTGTTAAAATCATCAGCTAGTTGGAGACAGCACTAGGTCTTACTCATTTTTGTATCTCCAGACTTCAGTGTGATTTTTATTTCCTGGAGCTAAATTCTCCCATAATCAAAATAAAGAAGCAGGACTGGAGAACTTCTAAGAAAAACATCTAGCTTCAGACATTTTATCTCATTTTTAGGTCAGGCATGTGATAACTGCCATATTATCTTTTAGGTAATATTGGGAATTTATACTAATGGCAATCACTATCGTGGATATTACAAAACAATAACATCAGTGAGCCTTTCTCTTTTTTTTTATTGCTGTTTCAGCAACCCCTAGAATATTGTCTAGAATATAGTAGGCACCTGACCAGTATGTATTGATTGCAATAATGAACTATTCATTTCTGAGCATCTTTGGTGTCATCCTGTGTAAGGGTTTTACATAAGTTATTTCATTTTATGCTCAAAAAAATTCTAAAAGACAGACATTATTCTAACCACTTTAGAGATCACGAAACTGAGACTAGGCGAGGTTTAGAAAACTGGCCATGTTTTCCCAGCTAATAACTAACAGAACCAGGACCAGGGTTTGGATTCAATTTGGACTAACTCTGAAGCTTGTGCTTTTTCCAGAGTGTCATACCACTCATTTGTAGCATTCTAACTCCCTGATAATCTTAGCAGGCTTCCTCCTGAGAGTTCAAATCTGGTGCATTTTTGTACAGGAAATGATAATGGGGAGAAGCCTTGGGAGAAGAAACTAGGAAAGAATAATAATCCTCATTGTAAAGATCGCCATCACAATGTAAAAAGATCTGCTTCTTCAAAAAAAAAGGTGGACCCTAAAAAAGATAATAAAGATTTAATCCAGCTATGCAACTATAAAACCTCCCCAAGGTTATTAACTTGCAAGGAATAACTCAGATTCTTCCTGAAAAAACAATGAATCCCATATTTCTTCTTCATAGAAGAGGCCAAGCAGGCAGTTGTTGATGTTCTTTATTAGCAAGCTTACAGCATTGATAGCCTTCCTTTCCCCTTTTTATCTTCTCTCCTCTTATCGGCTAGTCTGATCAGAACCAGAGCACTGGGGATATTCTTTTATTTCTTTTCATTTTATGATACTGTTGTTATCACATAGTTTATGGTTCCCCTTGTCTGTGTCATGCAAGCTGCCATAATTCAGCCGCTACATCACGTTCATTAATCTAAAGAATTTTGAATTTTGCTGTGAGTTCTCTAATGATTTGTCCACAGTGGAATGTTTTTGAAAGAAAAGAAATTAATTTAAAAAGTTTTATTTTTTTAATGTGGCAACTGGAAAATTTAAAATTGTACATGTTGGCTGGCTCGGTGGCTCATATCTGTAATCCCAGCACTTTGGGAGGCTGAGGTGGGTGGATTGCTTGAGCCTAGGAGTTCAAGACCAGTCTGAAGTACATGGCAAAACCCTGTCTCTACAAAAAATACTGAGGTGGGAGGATCGCTTGAGCCTGGGAGGCAGAGGTTGTAGTGAGCAGAGATTGTGCCACCACACTCCAGCCTGGGTGACAAAGCAAGACACTGTCTCAAAATAATAAAAAAATTATTCATGTGGATCACATTGTATTTCTACCGGACATCATTGGACTGGACCCTGGGTCACCATCATCTCTTGAACCCACCACCCACAATAGTCCATGATTTATTTCTTAAAGTTGCAAAAGCCCCAATTTCTCTGCCTCTGTGCTTTTATTTATGCTATTCAATTTCAGCTGTCAGGTTGCCCCTCTAATCCACACACTGAAATTTTGTCCCTCTTTCAGGCCTAGCTAAAAATACAGTTACCTTTGAAAATATTTTTTAATGCCCCTCCTCAGGTTTTCCATGCTACTTTATTGATATTTCCAGTTTGGAACGTGTATTTTAGGGCTAACAAACCCCTGGCATCCATGCGGATACTGTCCTCTACTTTGTCCATAGCAGACATTGCTAATCTATCACAGCGCTGTCATAGTGAACCTGATCTTTTTATGAGAATCCCCAGTACAGCACTCCAGGCAGCTACTTTCAAAGGATCAGAGGAGAGGCATGGTTTGAAACGTTGAAGTGCATGAATAGACTGGATGCCCTAGAGGTCTAATATTAACTGTGTGAAAATTTCCTGTTCAAGTAGAACTCTCAGGGAGGGATCCAACATCATTGCTTTCAAGAGAGAATGGGTGTGAGGGGCCATATTTTTTGCATAGTATCTTTCTTTTCTTTTCTTCTGATATACCAATTAATTGTTTTACAATCGCTTTGCCATTTTCTGCATCTTTCTTTCTCTCTCTATATGTATATATATAGAATCTATATATATCAATATCTGTATCTATCTATCTATATATAACTTAGGCAATGTGACTCTTTCAAAGCCGATTGGTTGCTGAGGATTCTAGCTAAGGACTATTTTGGGATGTTGTAAGCAATGGAATACCTCCATGCTGAGACAAAGCTCTTCAGTGGTACAAACATAGGAAGCCTCTCTTTTTATCCCTTTTGTTATAAAGGTTGTCTTGGTGATGGGAAAGGTTAGAGTTGGAAGAAAACTGGAGAAGAGAAAACAGTTTTATAAAAGTTTCTTTTTCTCAACCAGGAAGGAAGAAGTATTACTTCTTTCTTCCTGTGGAGTGGGTATTATGTGATTAACATAATTCCCCAACTTTCTTGAGCTAATCATTCATTGCTGATCTTGAACTCCTGGCTTTAAGCAATCCTCCTGCCTTGGTCTCCCAAAGCACTGAGATTACAGGCATGAGCCACCACACCTGGCCTTGTTTTATTTTTCTTTTGTATTTGTGTGACTGATACAGGAGAGGAAGAAATGCCAGGCGCTCTGGCTAAACATCACCACCAAAACCTTTAATACAGATAAAAAGACAACAGCATTACATGATTTGCTTTCAAGGAATGTGAAATCTAGTTGATGAAGTGAGATAAGCAGAAGACAAATTACAGAAGAGTGAAATAACAGGGTGACAGAGCAATAGAATGGATGGATTAGGAAATAATGTTGCCCAACACGTGATGCAGAAACTAAGTGCTATGGCTCATCAGAGAGGAATATCCCTGTTGGGAGGAGTACAGATTTTAACATGAGTGTGCCCTTCTTCAGGAACTCATGCCAAAAGACACATCATAGGTGACACAGTATTGTGGTAATAAAGCCCAGCTCTTGGCCAGTATTAAAGTCAGACCCACTGGATTCCCAGTGTATTGATGCCTTAAAATCCAGTGAGAGGATGCTGGCTCTGGACTTACAGGGCTGTTGGAGAATAATAGAAAGAGAGAATGTTTCTTCTGTTCAGTGAAGAAAAGTGTTTTTTGGCAGATGGAGAAGAGAGGGAAAACCATGTTGGCTACAGGAATCAGATACAGGATTTTTTCTCCTTCAGCTTTCTGGCTTAGCTCTGGCCTCATCAGAACACAGGCCCTTTTCCCTGCTTACTTCCCAAACAATTCTGGCCAAAGGGAAGAGTCTCTGTTAGATTATATCTGGGATGAAGCAGAGCAGAGACACTTATTCCTGAGTGGAATAAGATTCATGATGCCAGGGGTGGGAAGGAACCTGATGTCTTTGGAGATATGACATAGCCTCATAGGAATGTTTCTGTAACCACTGTAGCTGAACTGACAGGGACAATGCCAAGACACGCATAAGAAAACCCAGTAATTAATCTATGGAGACACCTTTGCAACAGATCAAATTCAAGATAAGGTATCTCATGGCATTTCAATTCTGTTTAAAACTGGTATAAAATTGGCATCAGAAAATGACCTCTTTGATGCCAGGGAAGGTCCATAATGCTACTGTGAGCTGCCCCCCTCTCATCAATCTGCCTTAGTCTGTTTTTTCTTTTTAAAAATTTTACTGAATTTTAATTTTTTTCAGCACTGGACTTGAACTGGGGCACAGAAGTTATGAACACTCCCAATGATAAGTGGGGATATCTAGAAACTCAGCCAATGTTATTCTATGTTTTCTAAATCATATGGAAAACATGAAATTCTACATGGACTCCTAAAGAAAGAATTAGATCTGAGTTCAGTTTTTTTTCTTTTTGTATAAACCACTTCTTTTCTCTGCACATCATAAAACAATTAGCCCCATGAAACAATGATATCTATCATTTATTGAGCATTTTAAAAGCACTAACGACAGCATTTAAGTACTTTATACTCATTACCTTGGTCCATCTCCAAAATAACCCCATGAGGTATGTGCAATCATCATTGCAATTTTAAAGGCAAAGAGTGGAGATTTAAGTAAGATTAGGTAATTTGCTCAAGGCAGTTAGTAGCAGAGCCAGATTCAAACTTACGTAGTCTTACTACAAAATCCACACTCTCCACATCTATGTTATACTGTTTCAACTAAAGACTTCCCCAGCTCCCTTTCAACAATAAATGTCAACGATCCTGTGAGTATTTATTTCATTGGGTATTGATAGCAACTACTTTCAGAGCCATGAGGTCTGGGGGATGGTTTTTTCTGACTTGGTTCTCACATTTTATATTTTTTTGAGTTATTCTAATTTGGTGTAGCATAACAAGACATGCAGTCTACTAATATTCACTAATATTTACTTTGTGTTTCAAAGTTAAGAAAAAAAAAAACCTCTTGTCCATGGAATTTGTCCATAGAATTTTTCATTTCATCTTTACAGCAGGCTGTTGGATTAGGAAGTAGGCAAGGTAAATGTTACTATCCTTATTTTGTAAGGGCTTAGAGAGTTAAAACATTTAGCTAAGGTTGCTCAGCTAGTCAATATTGGAGCCAGGAGTGGAATCCTGGTTTTCCTAGCATATTGTGTTACGTTGTTTTGGGATTCTAGGAAAATCCATCTTGTCCTCCTAGATGATGTCCTGGAACACAAGGTAAGAACTTGGAGAAAACCCCTGCCATTATTTCTTCTGAATACTGCGAAAATTCCTTTTCTGCAGTGTCTCAAATGTATTTGAGAGCTTCTGTGTACTCTTGTAGGACAGAATTCCATGAAGCTTAACTGGTATTTGCCAGGTGGCTGAGCCCTGGATGAGAAGCATACAGCACAGGGAAAATGAACTAGAGTAAAACAGCTACATCACAAAGGAGTCCTGATGCAGATTTTTCCTAGGCAGACGCTCCATTGTTCTGTAATGTCCCTTGTTTGTGGGGTGGGCATTGGCCATTTAGCCAGACAGCTTAAGCATGGCAGTGGGGTGGGGGGGTGGGGTGGGGCGCGGGCATCTAAACACAGCCTAGTTACCTTTCTTTGATCACAAGGAGAAACAAGGGTATCAAATACCAGAATACCTGATCGCTGGACAGCATCTCACTGATGGGTTTGCTGACCCAGGCAGCCTCATTGTCATTTTTGAGACACACTTTGTGCTTTCCTCCCACAGATGTGGCTGGAGGCTAAGCATGCATTTCCACCAGACCCTCACTCTGTGGTTTTGGAGATGGGCAAATATTCCTCCTGGATCACCTGCAAACACTCCAGGGCAGCTGGTGTTCATCCCAGATGTCTCATTCCCTGGAAAGTGGTCATTTCATCCATCAAAAATAGCAGAGACAGCAGTGCAACCTGAGGATTTGCCCCAACGATGTCTGTGCTAAGGATTTGCCAGGACTCACACTGCAGTTTGACTGAGCAGATTAGTGAGGATGATTCAAACCCAAATCTGATAGTACCCAAGAGGATAGTGATGGATCTTTCCTAAATCATGAGGTCATTCCTACCACTGGCCCCACCCTGCAAGTCCTGGAAGCCTCGGAGTCAGAGTGTCTGATTTATTCTTGGCAGCAACCAGGTGGGTCCTTGTGTAGATGCAGCTGGTGAATATAATTTGGCCTTGAGCTCTGACAGCTCTGGTCTCCATCATTATTCTTCTCTACTCTGGACCCAGGAGGCAACTTCTCATAGACTAAATTCAGGCCAGAGGCAGGGACCAGGTGACATTTCCCTTTCAGGGTAGAAAAACCTTGTCTTATCTTTGACAAAGTACTTGTGTTGGCCAAAGCCTTAGACATTAAAATTAGCGCTAATTTACTCTCACAGGCCTCAAAGTGAAGGACAGCCTCTCTTATCCAGGAAGGTGCCATGATGCTGGCATTTCCACCCACATTTTTCCTTAAATACAATCATTAGTGGCATCTTATAGAATGATCATGACTACTAATGAGTCCCTTATTTATACATAATACTTTATACTTTCCAAAGCATTGTCACATATATCATCGCACTTGATTCTCAAATGTTTTTAAAAATATAGAGTTGTTAAATATTCTATTCTCACCCCCAAAGCCAAAACACTTTCACACACATAGCATATCAATGTCTCAAAATTTTAAAGTTTTCATCACTTGCTTTTCACGTTTTCCATTTTCCTCTCATCTACAATGTACTCGACCTTTTTGCTGGCTGTTTCCTTATGAATTATACATTACCTAGTACCCCAAGTGATTTAAGTATCCTAACATTTTAATGCGTGTAAAACAAGGCAAAAATAAACGCCAAAAAGTCCCCTGCCTCAGCCAGCTGGAAAGAACTAGGTAGGGCTATAGTACCTTGGGTGAGTGATTGTCCCACACTCAATAGAGAAGGAAAGGGAGCCACCTGAGAGACAAGATAAGCTGTTAAAAATGCAGCTGCATCTTCTTAAAGCAATAGGGAAATAAAAGAGGCAAGTAGAACACCAGAGGCATATCTCATGGCTGCGAGAAAAGAAAAGATGTCTGTGCTAAGGATTTGCCAGGGCTCACGCTATAGTTTGAGCAGATCAGTGAGGATGATTCAAACCCAAATCTGATAGTACCCAGAGGACGTGATGGATCTGAATATATGAAAATATTGATGGATCCGAAAATATAGAAATATTTTTGTGGCCACTGAAAATATTTCTCTTGCCGCTGAAGTGGTCATTAAGGTATTTTCATTCAGAAAATGCCAAGCAAAGACAAGGAGTTTGAAAGGTGTGATGGCAGAGATTTGGTTCTCACTGGGCTCTTAGGGGCACAGGCTTCTAGAACTATCTATAGCAGCTTTAGTTCAGGAGTCTGTTGAATGTAATTCACCAGCAGAAAAATAAAGTGGGTATGAGGAGGCAAGTTTCACAGGTGTAAACAAATCCATAGCCTTTGTCACAGGACTAAAAACCTTTGCTCTTTAGGTCAACTCAGGTGATTGTACTCACTACGATTTCAGCACTGAGGTGCCAGGAGACAGGGCCCCAATAGGACATAGAAACCAAGAGGATGTAAATCAATTGAATAGAATAAAAAAGCACCTCTAATAAAATAACCTAGTGATTGGGGCTGACATAGTTGCAAATTCTTAAACTTTTCAAGAAGACATGAACATCTCTGAAATGCTATTTTGTGAGAACCCCATCCCTCATGTGTCATGACCATAGGATTATGATCTACATTTTATGATTAACATCTTAATGAGAAGTTTCTCACACTTGAGTGTAGGATCAAATGTAATGAAATCTAAACAACTGGGATAGATGATCTGGCATCCTGATGAGGTTGAATCCAGGAGAATCCTTTCTGTTTTCCCTTTCTCTTTAGATTCCTCTGAAGACTCTATTCTGGTCTTTGTCAACAGTTAATATGAGGCTAGATTTCTCCAAGTACTGGCTTTGGGAATATTATTTTGCAACCTCACAAGGAGCTGGGATTGACTTGTTTTCTATATAATGTGGGAGTGTAATTTGGATTTATGAGAATTTGAGATTGAATGAATCCAACTTCAGAACTTCTTATAGAGGTGTATATTTCAGTGGAAGATGGTTTAGGCTGCATTTGATGAAGGAGTTTCAAATATATTGACATACTTCATGATGACATTGAGCAGATTACTTGGAGAGTAAGGATTTTGGACTGTAAAGCATGTGGACTTTGGAGTTGCTATGGGCTTTAATTTATAGGAAATCAAGAATTTGAGGTTTGAATTTCAGTTTCTTTCTGCATATTGGATAATGAGCAGAGGTCATATTTGACCTTGTGTGTTTGATATTGGAGGGTCTTTATGTTGCTTTTTTATTTCTATGAGATATTTGGGGAGCTGTATTGACTAAAGTAGGTATGCATAATTTGGGATGGGAATTAGAGTCACGGAAAAATTTAGCTTAGGATACAAGGTGGCCTTCGATTTAATTATTAATCAGCTATTGCTGCAATAATGCTGTCTAACAGATGACTTCAAAACTTAGTGAACTATGACAGCAAGCATTTATTTTCCTCATTTATTTAGCCTGCAGGTCAGCTAGAGAATTTCTAGCTGCTGGTTGGCTAGGCTCGGCTGCAGGTTGGGTTTAGGTGTGCTTCCTATGTCTCTGTATTCTTCCTGAATGAACCAGCTGCCATATTCTTTTCATGATCAACAGCAGGTGCTCAAGAGGGCAAAAACACATGACCTCTTATGAAATTGGCTCAGAACTGGACACTGTCATTTCATTCACATTCTATTGGCCAAACCCAACATCATTTGACCAGGAAAATACACTGTGCCCACTCTTGTGCACTGCAAGATCTTACAATAGGACATGAATGATTGAAAACAATGTCTAATCAATGACAAGTAATATGCTTCTTGTCTTGTTGCATCTGTTATTTCATCTTTTATTCATTTAGAAGTGTGGTCAAATATCATCCTTTAAGTCTTCTATAGTTCCTACAAATTTAGGCTTATTGACTGCTTTCTTTAGGGGCTTACCCCAAAATTATAGAATTAGAATCTTCCTGGATGGGCTTCAGGAATTTACGTGTTTAACAATCTTGGTAGATGATTTCAATGAACTGTTAGATTTCAGTAGTGGTCTGTTTAGCTCAGGAACTCAGCTTCTATTCAACAGTGAGTTAATTATCACCTAGTTGTTAATTGGTTGAAAAATTATGTATGTGTCTAACTAGTTCAAGCTACATTAGACTTTTCACAATCTTTTGGACCCATCTTGCAATTTTCAGCCTTGTCCATATTACCCTTTATATCCAGAATGCCTTTGACTCAAGTGTTCCTATGTAAATTCTACTGTACCCCAAATAAGTGATATTTTAAGGTCCACTTCAAGGGCTATTTTTAGCTATTATTATTAATTCAGCTAATTAATTCAGCTAATATTTTTTCAATTTATCTTTTCTTATTTTGTGTTTCTGTATTACTTATCAGGTCCTGCATTTTATTAAAGGTAATTGAATATATACCTCCATCCCCCAATTAAAAGTATCTTGATGACAACAACATGCCCAATTCATCTTTGTGCCCTCCTCAGCTCCTTGTAACTGTAACTTTTCTCATTTTCAAAACTTAACTATGGTTCCCCTTGGATGCAGTTTCCACCTATGTCTTTGTTCCAGGTCCCCATCTACCCTTTCTCCCTTCAATCTTGCTGATTTTAAGACACCATAGGCAGTGTCTTTAGGTTTTTGAGCCTTCCTTCTTCTGATATCACCGTATCTATACAAACCTCTCACTTTGTCTTTGATTTTCCCTATTCCAGCTTCAATTTTGCCATTTTTGTCTCTTCTAGTTCTTCACTTCAGTAAGTATATTGCAGCAGGGGATATAGATTTTTTCTTTTAAGCCTCTGGCTTTACTCTTCCCTTGAGAGCTTTCTCTATATTATTTTGAAAAATATCCCACTGATGCCTACCCCTTGAAAGAGGAGGAGGCTTTCTTGTTCCAGTTTTGATCATAGATTTTAATCATGTTTCAAAATTTTTTCCTAATCAAACTGGAGCATTTTCTCATTGTACGTATATTTTATGCCAAATCCTCCAGCTCTTCAACAATTAATTCTTGCTATTTCCTTAGTGTGACTGGACAGGGGATTCTTTTTTACTTTACTACTACTTTCTTGTGCATAAATCTTAATGATTCTAAAGGGCCACATTCTTCTTTTGGTAAGTACACTCAGGACTTTTAGGAATGTGTCACTGACTCTATGGTGCTATCAATGCATTCTACATATTTGGCTTTCCAAGGTTACTCTAATATCCTCCTTGCCTTGTCATTTTGTGTGGTTAAAATCTCTTCCTACCACCACAATTCTTGCTGTCAAAGGGGAAAGTACTATTCCCTTAAATATATTTCTTTTACTTTCCCGTTTTGCAGAAAAAAGTTATGAAGGAGGGTATAGGCTTTCCCAATTTTTATGTAACTGCTGTTTTGAACTATACAAATGACAATGCAACATAATTACAGTTTTCTTTTTCTTTTTTTTTTTTTGCATCCCATAGTCCTTTTAAAATTCATTCAGAGCTAGGCATGGTGGCTCACACCTGTAATCCTAGCACTTTGGGAGGCTCAAGTGGGAGGATCACTTGAGGCCAGGAGTCCAAGACCAGCCTGGACAACATAGAAAGCCCCTGTATCTAAAAAAATACAAAAATTAGCTGGGTGTGGTGCTATGTTCCTGTATTCCCAGCTATTCAGGAGGCTGAGATGGGAGGATTGCTTCAGCCCAGGAGTTTTAGGCTGCAGTGAGCTGTGATCACACCATTGTACTCCAGCCTGGGTGACAATGGGGTCCTGTCTCTTAAAAAAAATAAATAAAATTTATTCAGTGGCGGAAATCTCCTGTCCCCACTTCCTTAGGCTTATGGTTTTTCTGACTCCTCTTAGATAATATAATAGAAAGTTCTCAGATGGCTTAAGTTGCAAACAAGACTTGAACACAGAAATTAGAATGTCAAGGCCAAGATATTGAACAATGAAGATTTAACATCAAATTCTCTGTTTCCTTTTTAGCTGGGGCTTGCAGCTCAAGGCTGGCAGCTGGCAGGAGGGCCGGGGCATGGTTGACTGCTTTCTGTGTTTCTGTCTTCCACCTTCCTTCCCTTCTTCCCAGCTTGCTAGCTAATTGCTGACTCTTCCAAGTTCAGAGAGGTGAGACAGAAGAGGGGGAAGATGATAGGAAAAGTCTACCTTGAACTAGCACTAGATGAAACTGGTCTCTAACTCTTTGGCACAACAGCTATTTACAGGTGATTCTTTCTCTCCAGGGCAATATTGAAGTCTATTTTAGAGATTCACATTCTGGAGACCTTGCTCCATAGTTCTTTTGAGTGAGGAAAATGCATTTCCTACCCCCAATTTTGGGTCCTTCTATAGTCTCTAGACATCTAACATTTACTTCCAACTGTCTTGTGGGTATCTCTGCCCTGTTAGACAGCCCCAGGGAACAAGACCTGTGCACCCTGTAAGCTGGTGCCCTTTCATATATGGCCCCCATCTGCTAATGTCAGCCAGTCCTGTCAGCTACCCCTATCACTGCAGGCTGATTAGCTTTGTCAGGCCTGTCTCAGGAACCAGTCCTCTGCTCCCAGCTGCAGTGAGTACATTTCAAGCCACTAGCTTTTTATTCATTGGTCAATTTAAGTAGGTGATAAAATTGCTCTTCCTTCGAGGGTTATCTTGGACAAAAGACCAATACAGGGTTCTGTTAAAAAGGAGGGATAGGCAAACAAACAAAATCAAGGCTCAGGAAATCCAAGCTTCTATGACTCTGCTTTTGTTGTTGCTGTTGTTTTTACTCACTGAAGGTTTTCTTGCTCTCCCAGGTTGGGGTGAGGCTGGTCACCTCCTTACTTACCATTGGTGCAGAAGCACCTGGAGCAGTATCTCCCAAAGCTTCCTGCTTCTCTTTGCCTTCCCTAGTGGCCAAGCCAGGTTAATCCTAGTAGGCATCTCATTTCTAAGTGAGATTCACTTGACTTCCCGCAACTGCCCTGTGAAATCGTAGACATGGGAAAAGTGACTCAAAAATGTTCACTGACATGTTTTCTATCTGAGAACATGTCTCACTTTCTCTTTGATTTTCCCTATTCCAAACCTTAACACATGGTTCTAAGCTCTTTATATCAAGCTGCCATCTGATACTGAGCAGGTTCCCACAGACACTGGCCTGCATCTCTGGCTCTCAGAATCTCTGTGTCTCCTGTGAACAGATTTATGGAGAACCTGGGAATTATCAAAGCCATACATACAGTATTTGGCATTTTCTTCCCGGCATGGGAAGGAACAGGAGCCACTTCCTTTCTGGCTAGGAGATGACTTAGTTTTATATTTCATATCTTCTATTCAAAGGACATCCTTGTTACTTCTGGCCAGTCTCCTTCTGGACCTTTAAAATCTTACCATTATAAACAAAACTTCTCTGGCTGCATGGACACGTTTTCTCTTTACATGAGTTATGCTGCAGATATACCCAGGGCACACCTAGAGGCAGCCTTATGCATCTTGGGTGTGTGCTTGTCTGGCTTTGCTTACAACATGCATATGTAATCCTAAGTTTTCATCTTTCTGGAACTGCCTTCTCCTCTGCTATCTAGGTAGAAACACCCTCTTCCATGTCACTGCAGAAAGTCTAGGCCCTTTCACAGCTGTTTCTGAGGATACTTGGGAGGTACTTACCTCTCCTTGCTATTTACAGTCTCCATTTCTGGACCCTTTCCTTGAGCTGCTCTCTGATCACCCTGTTTATTTCCCAATACTTTGGGGTTGCTCTCTTCTTCCCAGGCTGCTGGTGTGGCCATGCAGTTTGTATACTGCACAGCTCCAAGGGATTGCTTTTCATTCCAACACGAATTTGAAGGACCTCCTTTAGAGTTGACAAACATGGCACACCCTCTGATCCCTGTCTTTATCACAAGGGTAGTGGATCTGTCTCTTTGGTACCCAAACAGTCCCAACACAAAGCTGGTTTGTGCAAAAACAGAACAAGAAAACTTAAAGTTAGTTGTCAGATGTCATTTCACAGGCTGGTTCCTAGTTTCTGTTATTTGATGATATGTCTCCAACCAGTCACGTTTCTCCTCAAGCCACCTGTCTACCCCTATATTGCTAAAGACAGTTTCTTTATTAGGTCAGAATCCCCTTTTCCTCCAACATCCAGAAGAAGCAATAAATCAATTAACAATGTAATATCTTCCCAAGGATGCTAGCTATACAAAATGAAGACAGCCTGTTCCTCCCTCCCTTCCTTCCCCATTTCCTTCATTCCTCCTCCTTTACTCCCTTCTTTCTCTTTTCCTTTTCCTTCCCTCCCTCTGTCTCTTTCTCCCTTCCATCCTTCCTTGCTCCCTCCCTCCATTATTTTCTCCCTCTCTTCCTCCCTTCTTTCCTCCTCTATTCCCCCATCCCTCTCCCCTCCTTCCCTGCCTTCCTTCCCCTCTTTTTCTCTCACTTCTTCTTTCCCTCCTTTTCTTCCTCCTTCCCTTCTTCCCCCACCTTCCTTCCTTCCTTCTCTCTTCTTTCTTCCTTCTCTCCCCTTCCTCCCTCTGTTCCTTTCTTCCTCAAATACTTATATATTTACTCCTATGTGTCAGGCATGATTCTAGGTTCATGGGATTCAGTGTTGAACAATCAGACAATGCCCCTGTCCCCATGCAACCTACATTCTACTAGTAAGGGAGTAATACCTAAATATATCATTTCAGATAGTGGTGCTTATTAGGAAGACAGAACAAGCTGGGGAAGGGGATAGAACAGGGACTCTCAATCTTGGCTTCATGTTAGAATCACCTAAGGGCTTTAAACATCCCCATATCTACTACCACCCACAGAGCTTCTCATATGATTGCCCTAGAGTGAGGCATTGCTAGACTTTAAAGCTCCCCAGGTGATTTTAATGTGCACTAGGCCATTAGAAACCACTGGGATGAGAAGAACGGCATATATACCACTTTAGACAGGGTAACAAAGGAAGGTTTCCTGAGATGACACCTGGATAAAGCAGGGATGTGGCCAAAGGAAGATTTCTGGCATAACAAAGGTGTTTTGGCTAATGTTTGAGCACTGATTTGTAGGGGTTACAGATTTCCATGCCATAAATAGTCTCACCAGAACTGATTTCAAACCACCAGTGTGATAGCACTGAACGTGGAGCTGGGAATATATGGTAACAGTTGGCTCCTGTAAGCCTCTATGAGCTGGCTTCAGCATACCACTAGCTAAGCAGTCTAGGCAAAAAGAACAGGCTGTGCAAAGGCCCTGCCACTTCCATTGTTTTGCAGGGTAGTTCAGCACCTACTAGGCTCAACCTTTCCTTTTGGGACCAGGCTTTGAACATTTCCTTTATATAATCAAAGCATCCATGGAAATATTTCTCCTTCCCCTACAAAGCCCCACAAACAAAGAGAATAAACTAGTCCTTTTGTACAAATGGTTTCTGTGTCCCCTCCAGAGTTTTAGCAATGGCTTTATATTTCAAAGTGGCACTCTTTTGTTTCTCCTTTCCCTTTTTGATTCTGTCACACAGCATTCTGCATATTTTATCTTCCACTTACCGAGACCAGGCTTGCTTTTCATTTTTGCTTCTCCAGTTCCTACAAATTCCTTACACTTTGAATAATGACTTTGCGTTAGTTCTCCCTGAGTCTACTTTGTGATGCTAACAAACAAATAAACAAACAACAGAACAATCACAAAGTCCAAAAGAGAGGAGAGACTTGAAGCCCTCCTTAAAAAATATCTTCAGGAAAGAAGTAAACGAAAACCCTTTATTTCCTGCACTAAACAAAATTTCTCTTCTTTTTGGACATCTTATTGAAATAATATTAAATCAAACAAGCAGGCTGAACAATAAATGGAGAGTCATGAACACTATGAGACCTAATCAGAAGCAAAGGGAATTATGGTGAGTGGTTCTTCAATTGCATAATAATGACAATTTTTACCTCAGCAAAGTATGCTTTTTTCCCTAAAAGCAGACAGAATGTCAAACAGAAGTTGTAATTGGATGATGTGATTTACATACAGATTAATCCATTATTAGTCTAAGTGATAATCTTGATTCAGCAAGATACTTATCATCCAATTGCTTTGCTCACATAAATCCAAATGACTCTGTAACTTTAATTGTATTGCATGTTCCAGAAATATTGTCCATGATTACACCCTGTTTGCAATAATTAGGTGGTAATTAGCATTACAAGTGTCTTTTAAAAAATACTATCATTAGAGAGATTGCTAAATGAATTACCTGGCGCAGGGGACTTGATTTTCTTGGCGTAGGTACCTTTCTCCACAGAAGGGGCAGTGATGTTCAAAGGCATTCTCAGAGAAAGCATGTATTAGTCTGAAATCACTGCTGTAACAAATCACTGCAAACTTAGTGGCTTAAAACAACACAAATTTATTATCTTGCAGTTTCTGTAGGACAGAAGTCTGGTACACTTTGGTCTGTTTGGACACCCAAAAGGCCAAAAGCAAGGTGTCAGCAGGCTGTATTCCTTTCTGGAGGCTCTAGGAGAGAATCTGTTTTCTTGCTCATTCAAGTTGTTGGCAGAATTCAGTTCCTTCCTGCTATAGGACTGAGCTCCCTGTCTCCTTGCTGGCTGTTGGCTGAGGTCCATTCCCAGCTTTTCACGGCTGTCTGCATGTCTTGGCTTATGGCCCCCTCCATCTCCAAAGTCAGCACTGGCAGGCTGAGTCGCATGCTTTGAATTGCTCCTGCTTTTTCTTCATAGCATCTCTCTGACTTCAGCTGACATTAGTTCTGTTTAAAGGGCTCATGTTATTATATTGGACTCTCCTGGATAATCCAGGCTACCCTCCCCATTTAAAGTTTCTTAACCATAATGACATCTTCAAAGTCCCTTTTGCCATGTGAGGAGACATATGCGTGGGTTCCAGGGTTTAGGGCCTGGACATCTAAGGGAATGGGGAGGGGTGCATTATCAGCCTATTACAGAGCCTGAGCCACATATGTGTTTCATTAGGCATGCTGTGTCTTCTCACAGATAATAGCAGGATATACTAGTAATTTCTGTCCTTCTTGGAGTAGTGACTGACTCAATTCGAGAAAGACAAAAGGACAACGGAATGCTTTGATGCTTAGACTACATCGAGATGCAACAATAGGCAGAGAAAAGAATTTCTGTTAAGTAACTGGTTGATATTTTTGAGAGTGTCTCATAAAGAACTATTGATTTTGAAAATATTGGCTTGGAAGATGCTAAACATTTATTTATTTATTTATTTGAGACAGAGTCTTGCTCTTTTCACCTAGGCTGGAGTGCAATGGTGCGATCTCGGCTCACTGCAACCTCCGCCTCCCAGGTTCAAACGACTCTCCTGCCTCAGCCTCCCCAGTAGGTGGGATTACAGGCGCCTGCCACCATGCCTGGCTAATTTTTTTGTATTTTTGGTAGAGATGGGGTTTCACCATGTTGGCCAGGCTGGTCTCGAACTCCTTACCTTAGGCAATGCGCCCACCTCGGCCTCCCAAATTGCTGGGATTACAGGCGTGAGCCACCGCGCCCAGCCTAAACATTTATTTATTAAAGAAGGGTTTATTTAGTTGTGTATTTTTTATTTTTTGTCCATCACATATGAGTCCATGAAGACAGAAGTAATGTCTGTCTTGTTCACTACTGTGTCCATAGAGCCAGGAAGAGGACCTGGCATGGAGTTGCTCAATAACTATTTTCAATAATACACATTTATTGAACGGATTATTTAGCAACAACTATGACAGCAGTTCCAGGAAATCTAGCAGTGAAAAAGGCAGACATGGTCCCTGCCCACCTGCTCTTAAACAGACATTAAACACATGATGACATGACTAATTATAATGAGGATTGATATGGTTTAGATCTGGGTCCCTGCCTAAATCTCATGTCAAACTGTAATCCCTGATATTGGAGGTGGGGCCTGGTAGGAGGTGATTGGATCATGGAGGTGGTTTCTGATGGTTTAGTACCATCTATCTAGTGCTATCTTGTCATAGAGCTCTTAGGAAATCTGGATGTTTAAATGTCTGTAGCACCTCCCCCACCTCTCTCTTCCTCCTGCTTCAGCCACGTAAGATGTGCCTGCTTCCCCTTCACCTTCTGCCATGATTGAAAGTTTCCTGAGGCCTCCCCAGAAGTTGTCATGCTTCCTGCATGGCCTGCAGAACCGTGAGCCAATTAAACCTCTTTTCTTTACATATTACCCAGTCTCCGATATTTCTTTATAGCATTGTGAAAACGAACTAGTAAAAAGATAAAACTGAAAATCTTAAAAGTGGTAGAAATGTACTTTACTATTTGAACTTAAAATGTACAATTGTCCACCAATATTTTGATGTAGCATCAAGATATTCTGTCTGAATAGGTTTTGGTTGCACAAAGTTCTACATTTTCCTACTTACATAAATCAAACCCCAAATTCGTATCTATGATTGTCAGTTTCTGCTTCTCTTCAGTGGTGTGAGGACTCAAGATCAGGGTTTGGCAAACTATGGCTCACCATCTGTTTCTGTATGGCCCAGAGCTAAGAATGGGTGGTTTTACATTTTTAAATGGTTGAAAAAAATTAAAAGAAGAATAATATTTTGTGACATGTAAAAATTATATGAAATTCAAATTTCAGTGTTCGTAAATAGAATTCATTGGATCATAGTCATACCCAATCATTTACATACGATCTATGGCTGCTTTTATGTTACAGCAGTAGAGTTTAGTTGCCACTATACAGCCCACAAAGACTCATTATGGCCCCGCAAAGCCTAAAATATTTACTATGTGACCCTTTAGAGTAACTGTTTGCTGACCACTGTTCAAGATACTTGAATAGTAAATTGAGGGCATAAACTTTGTAGATTCCTACCCCAATAATTTTGTTGGTAGTATGTGTGTATTGAAAAGGGGCTTCAAGGCAAGGCCAGTAGGCTACTTTCTAAGGCATTACATCTTATATCAATAATTGTTGGTGACTCCACTCTATTCAATATTTCCAAAACATTGAAATGTTAATCAACTAAGAAGGGAAACAGCTCTCCTTCTCAGTTGATTCACATTTTATCAATTTACACTATCCTCAATTAAATTATACAATGATGCCAACAGGTATGTATTACCATAAATTAGTTTCGAGATGAACACAGCTGACTCCTGGTAAGCAGACATCTCCAAGAGTGAGGCAGAAGTATATACTGTTCCAGAGAGGAACCCACTAGCTGTAGACATAGTGAGGTCATCTGTCCCTGTATTTTATGGAGGAATGGAAAGGTCTGGTTAATGCTGCAAGTTGGTCAAGTGAGAACTTCTGCAGCAGATAAGAAAATTTAGTACAAATTAAACATAAATTTGTATAGAGTAATTAGAACCATGCTTTTCTAGATGTCATTTATCTATCATGCAAGGAAACTTGCATCTAGAATTTTGAATTTTTAGTGTTATTAATGTGGGGAACTATTTTATGTTACAGAACTTTAAACCTCTAATGTAGGAGACTTTCTTGCCAGGGCTCTCAAAACTCTGATTTTACTTTTATAGAAACCTTATCTTCCATCCAAATATCAAAGTGAAATCCCTTATCCCACTCTGTTTAGAATTCAGTCAATAATTGCAGTCATTTTCCATGCTTTCCTCCAAGATAATTTTCTCCTGCAATCTCTTAATTCAGGAGAGAGTTATCCATAAAGTCTGCTTTAAATTTTTTTTAAAAAAATGCCCAGTCATGTGATTCTGTGCCTCATTAAATGAATATTTTATCTTCTGAATAGTAATTTCAATTTATTCAAATGAGGGTAATCATTGCAAAGTGTAATATATAATTAAAAAGTAACCTCTTAGCCAGATGCAGGTGTTAAAAATAGAGTTGATGCAGATTTGGTATCATTTTCAGTTTAGAAACTTTGTCTTTTCCTATTTCAGTGGTTCCTTTAGCCCTGGAATGTCACCTCCTCAATGAGCAACTGGCTTGTTTTTATGTTATAAGGATTTGGGATTGAAAAGTCAAAAGGAACCTCTATCTATCTTTCCTAATTTGCCTTAGTAGATGCAATATGAAAACAGCATAGCATTAAGGAAGAATCTTTTCTTTCTTTTTAGTTTCTCTCTCTGGAGCTGAGTTAAAATGGAATACAGTCATTAAAAGGTTATCTAGAGTAACAAGCTCTCTGCCAAAAGCAGAGCAGAAGGCTCTATTCCTCTGTGAGTTGTTTTATGAAGTAACTCATGGCTGACAATCAGTGAACTAAATCCTCTGACAAGGAGAGATTTACAAGGACTTGTCTATAGAGACGAAGTGTTTCTACAGACTTGAGAAGAGCTGGGACCAGGGATTAGCAGCCCTGCACATAAATACAACTTGTGGCTTCAGGATTCCACAGCTGGGAGCTTTCAATAGCCACTCTGTGTAAATATGCCTATGGAATTGAATTCTAAATATCGATCGTCCTGCATACAGGATTCATATGGCTTCCAGGGTTTATAGATGGGCTAACCAGGTGTTCTCCAGACACATATCTCAACCATGGAGCTCTTTTTCCTGATTTCTTGGGAAGCTATAGTGCTTAAACTCTCTCCTCTTGCTCCGCATCCCAGCACTAAAGAAAGGGCTAACCAAGTTAAGTTTTCACCCCAATCTCCTTTCTTCTGGCTCACAACTGTCTATTGTCCATTGTTATTGGTATTTCCTGGCAAGTATGTTAGGTATTGGGAGTGGTGAGGTTATTGCAGTATGAATTAATTGGACATTTAATTCATGACTTTGGATGTGACTCCTAATATTCAAGGGTTAATTTTGTTAGGCCCAGATGAAAGAATTAATCATCAGAGATAAATTGCATAGGGACTTACATGCGTAGAATAACACAGCTGGAAGATACATTAAAGATTATCCAGGACGTCTCTATCATTTTTTTTTAATATGAGAAAATTAAGGCCTACAGAGGTAAGAGACTTATATATGGCCACAAAGATGGCCTAGTTCAATGATGATTACACCCTGCAGGATTATAATAAGCTACATTGCTTGTGCACTATCAAGATATTGTAATTACAAGTATCTGCTGTGAAGCCAGATTTCCCGGGTTTGAATCCTATCTCTGTAATTTACTAGCTATACAACCATGGAAAATGTGTTTTACTTTCTGTGTCTCAGAGTATTCATTGACAAATGGAGATAATAAGGGCACTACCTCATGGGGTTGTTTGTTTATCAAATTAGTAAATACACATGAACCACTCAGAACAATACCTATGAAGAGTAAATGCTCATGTCGGCACTGGTGCTATCACTACTATCCTATTACTGCTACTCCCTACTACTACTACTAGTTCTTGACTGATTTCTCCCAACTCAATGTGATCTGTGAACCAATAAAAAAAATTAAAAAGAAGAAATATACCATGTTTTGCATTTTCATCGGAACAATACATATGAGCGTGTTTGTGTATGTATGTGTACTATGTAGGTGTTTAAATCTATTGTATGTGTGTATTCTTTGTGTAAAACTATTAAATAAGATCAGCCAATTTTCCCCTGAACTAAATAGGAACTGACTCAACATTTCATCACTCTCAAGTTGCTGATTTGTAAGTATTAACACTCCATTTTGAATTTACGTGTGTCCTTGTGGGACGTATATCATGATATATATTACTGGGGTGTGCCTGGGGTTGGTACTTCCTCATTTTTTTCAATAAGTTGAGTCATAAAGCAACTTTGTTGCTTTATTTTGTCTCAGTGCTCAAAAGGTAGCCCATGTGTAGGAGGTAGGAAACATGAATTTACATATTCTAGTTACTCTTGGAATGCTTTTTCTTGGGAGGAGTATAAAATTGGTGGAGTAAATCCTCTACCAAAATAAAGAGAAGGCCTGATGGCTTATACTATTCTCACTTTGTTCTGAAGAGCCTTCACTCATGGTCTTGCAGAAGGTACTTATTTGAAGACTGTTTATAGTAGCTCTGTAATTACAAAAAAGTGGAAGCAACTTAATGACCATTGAGAAGAAAATGGAAAACCAAATTGCAATTTATTTATATAAGATATTACATAGCAGTAAAAATGAATAATCTATGGCAATATAAAATAACTTAAATGAGTGTTGATAACATAATGATGAATAAAATCACAAATTCCAGAAGATAGTCTATAACGTGGCATGGTTCTTATAATAACTAAAAACAAACTACAAAATAATATGTTATTTAAGAACACATATGTATGTGGCAAAACTCTCACATATTAATTTCTAAGTAATAAATAAGTGAATCAATAAAAATGCATGCATTGCCCAATGACAACATTGTATTATGAATAATCCAAGTCTATGCACCCGAGGTCCATAGGAAGAAAAAATAATTTCAAAAAGAATAATCTCATAAGCCATTGTTTTGCAAGAAATAAAACTTCAGCATGTAGTGTGTACAGAATAAAAACCACAGAGTGTGACTTGGGAATAAGAAACTGTTATTTAAAAGTCCTAAAATTTTTTTAAAATCTTATGTGATAACATCTGTCCTCTGTAGGCTTTTCACTCTGTGATTGCTGGCCAAGACATTGCTATTTGTATTTGAGTCCATGGGGTAAGGTTATGAGATAGCCTTTATAGGACTTTGTTTAAAAGAAATAAAATCTGGGCACATTTCCATTCCCTCCAGTCCTGCTGAAGCCCAGAGTAGAAAAAAGGCAACAGATTCCGAGGACTCATCGTTCAAATACATGGAAAAAAGCCAGACGAGTCCTTTTTTCTACTACTGGCTTCGCTTTCATCTCTGCTGTTTGTTTCCTTACTCTGGTGTGTAAAGAGGGGGTGAGTCCCAAAGCAAGAACAGGCCAAGAGAAGATGCATGGCTCAGCTGCTGAGCCAGTGAGCCACCTGAGAGCAGCACGACATGTTTGAAACATGTGTCTGGGTTTCTCTTCTCCCTAAACGCCCGACCTTTGTTGACTTTCAAGTAGCACGGCTGCTGCTGAATAATAACAAAGAACAAACTTGCAAATCATAAAGTGCAAGGATGGGCTTACAGGAGAGGGCTGGGATTCACAGGCTGTTTTCCTGATTTTCTTTTTATCTCTTGTGATGCCAATAAAGAGGTACTTGTGAGAACAGCTTAGAGTTTTGAGCCTTTTCTGACAATACTTTGACTTGTAACTTTCCAACTTGGAAAACTTTCTTCCTCAGGTTGCATGTGGAGAAAATCGGGATGAATTTCCCCTATTTCACTGCAATGCTAGGAGAAAACTACCGCCCTCCGATGGGCACAGAGAAAATTAAACCAGTGCAACCCCTTAGAAGTAAAGGACAGTGAACAGACCAAAGTGGGCTGCTGCTAGTCCCATAGTTTTTGGAAGCATTATGTTTTATATTAACTAATGCAAAGTCTGCTTTCCATTTAGCAATATGCCTGAGCTTGTTTTAATAGAAAAGAAATATATATATATATATATATATATATATATTTTTTTTTTTTTTTTTTTTTTTTGCTTGCCAAATTGTCTAAGCAAAACAATGTTTCTGGAATATGTTTATGCTATGACTTCTGGTATCCCTGGGGTACATCTGTATTCATTTATTTGGAGACTACAATTTAAGCTTTGTTGTTCATTATTGTATTAATATCTCTAGCACTTGGCTCAGTGAATATCAAGCATTTCCGAATGCCTGGACAACCTTTCCTTAACCTCATTTGAGTCTCATAACAACCCTCTGGGTGGGCACTGTTATCACCTCTTCTAGCGGCTGGCATCTTAATTTTTGGTGTTTTGGGGTTTTTTTGGTAAGTCCATAATGCATATTTCTAGAAAAAATGCATAGTTCTCATTTCACAGGTGAAGAAATCTCTGGGTTCAGAGAAGCCAAGTTACTTTCCCCAATGTTATACATTATGTAAATGGCACAGTTGCATCTAAAATATATGTCTTAAAAATTAATTTATTAATTAACTTTCCCCAGTTTATTGAGGTATAAATGGCAAATATAAATTATATGTATTCAAGTTGTACAACATGATGTTGTGATATATGTCATTGTGAAGTGATTTAATCCTGGCTCCTAGCTATTTGCTCTTTCCCTGCTAACTTGTTACTTTCCTAATGGCAATTTCCCTAGTGAGAAACTCTGGAAGAAAAATATTGGATGGTAAAGAGTACATTTAGTTAGGTGCTCAGGAATTGAATCAATTTTTTTTTAACATGTAATCAGTGTATTCTTCAATGAACTTCTTTACTTTTTTGTTGTTCAGACAATTCTAGTATGGGCTCTGTTCATGTCCTAGTGGAAAATGTTGGCATAATAAGGTTGGAAATGTCACTTTGAAACCCTTACTATTGTTTTTTCCTGCTATTCTCTTCCTTGGTTCTCTCTACCTAGCCAAATCCTGCTTATCCTGCACTCAGTAAGTAGCAAGCTTTTTGAGTGCAAGACCTTGTCTTGGAGGTGATATTGAAGAGTGTTATAAAGTTAGTCTTTGGCTTAATATTTTTCAAGCTCAAATGTAAGCTGTTGCTTGCTAATTTTGTGAGCCTGGAAAAGTCTGTTTTCTCATCTGCTAAAGGTACATAATAATAATACATACTTCCTAGCATTATTAGAAGAATTAAACAATAATAACTTGTTAATCCATTATTATACTCAGTGTTGAGTACATACTGAGTATTCAAAAATAGTTAACTATTATTTTCCATCTTTGTACTTCTAATACCTAAGCACAGAAGCTAGTATATGGTAAACATTTAACAATGTTAATTAAATGAATCCAGGGGCCATGTTATCATCTGGATCTTTGACAAACTTTAGTAGGCTTATCCCTCTCATCAATTTCCTTAAAGTTAAACAGGAATTGAGAATTGTACCTATTGTTTCCCTCTAACATTTGTTATACCTTACCTAACCAAACCCACTTCCTACCCTAGGGTTATTTGACAGATTTTTCAAATATATAGGTTCTTTCAGCATAAATTATTGTTAATAAGAAAATGTGTTTTGTTGAGACAGCCTCTGCTTTCTTCTTAGATTTTAAATTGCCGAATTCTAATTTATAGAATTTGATGACATTCCTCCTAAAAGCTGGTCTTTTGTCTTCAGGCCAAATTATCCACCATTAGTCTCTCTCCAGAGCACCTATCTCTTAATTCTGGCATGCTCTGTTATCTTGTTTCCCTTGTTGATGGAAACATCATTTTTCAATATTGCCTTTAAGCTGAGAAATTCAAAGGTACACATGGGTTTTAGGAACCAGGAGAATACGTGCCACGTGCTGCCTCCTTCTGAGTTTGTTGCTACTGAAGGTGAAGCCCAGCATGTTTTCTGTTTGCTGATTATGTATACCCAGTCACCAAAACTTCAAACCAGATATTGTTTGGGAACAAGGGAAGTGACTGGGGAGCCTTTCACAAGGAATGAACTTACCATTTCACAGACCTATGCTGTTCATATAGATAGAGACACTGCATTTTTCAAGTTATCAGTTTTAGTGTTGTGCTTGAGTAAAACGGAGATACTGATATGTACCTAATTGTGTCACAGTAAAGTTTGACTTTGCTATCTAAGATGTTCATCTAAAAAAAGACAAAAAGAACAGGAAACTTAAATGAATCAACAGGGAATACTTTGTAATACAAATCCCATTTTTTAAAAAACTCCTGTTCTGTTTATCAGTCAATGTTGGGTCAATATTATGTGTAGATTTATTTTTCTTTATATTCATAGACCATGTGGAAAGATAGCTTCTCTTTTCAGTTGACTGATACAAAGAGAGTTGCATCAAACATCAGAATAATTATATTGGATAATCAAGTTTTTAAGATGTGAACAGTGACATCAGGTAAACAAGAAAACACCCACCCGATCTTTCCAGAATCACAACTCAGAATAATGAACGCATCTATCAAAATAAATTCATCAGAAGCTCTCTTAACTGATCTATGCTTATCCTACTTAGCACATCAACTCAATCCTTTCTCTCTAAAACATAGATGACCATGTGCTGCTCACTACTAGGTTCTGGGCCATTACCTGGTCCTCTCTCACACCTCTCCTCTCAGAAATTGAGTGATGTGCTTACCAAGACACAGTTGTGCTTAATTCCAAACCTTTCTATGTCATTGTATTCATTATACTATACTCTGTAATTTAAAATAATGATTTTTTTTGGAAAGGGAATATCATTTCTTTAAAAAATAAGTTGAATGATTTAAAATCATTGATAAAGATGAGATAGAAAAATAAAATTGCTTTTGAATTAGAGGTAAGACCACTTTAGAGGATTAGAAAAAAAATTGGAAGGATGCTTGCTTTACTTCCTTTGCAAGTATCTTCAAAGTATCTTCAACTTCTTACTTTACTTTAAATAGGCCAAAATTGTAAATATTACATGATGTGTTATAGTTATGTTTTGTTGTAGAAAGAAGACAGAGTACTCCACCTGTGTGTCTACTGTGTATCTATCTATTCAAAGGAACGCCTTGAATCTGCATAGAAAGATTGGAGAGCGAATGTACCCCTATACATTTTAAGTTAAAATATCAAGGTGTATGTGTATATTTTGGAGGGTCTACTTGATCATTTTCAAATAATTGACTGTCTGAAGGTATCAACTAAGCCAGACAAGAGGGCTTTTACTCTGATCACAAACCTCATGAAACTGATGGTTGAACATGATGAAAAGAGAGATAAGTTGTTCAGGACCAAGTGACTTCTCTTCCCAAGGTCTCAGTTTCCTTTTCTCTGAAATGAAAGGGTTGGACCTAATCAACCAGAAAGTTCTTTCTAATTCTAATATTTTGTATTTCTTGATACCAATTCGGCCAAAGTAAAGACCTTTCCTATTATGTTACCTGTTAGATGGCTTTTCAGTCCCCTGTACTTCTCTCAGGTATACTTTTTTGAAAATTGTATTGGCCCTGGAATATTTATTTGAGTTCATCCCGGTCTGTTGTTAATCATTCAAGAGACACTTGTCTGGAAGAGAGATCCAGGTTGAGTTGCATTTGGTTTAGATCCATATTAGAGCATGTTACTCCCTTGCTTAAGGTCTTTCAAGAGCTCACCCTTCGGTACAGGGCATCATGCACCTTCCTTAGTATGCATCTAAGTTTTTGAATAATCCAGCCTCTACAGAGTATTTTAGCCTTACTCTATAAATTTCTATCACTGAACTGACTTGATTTTCCTTATTCCAAGGTGCTGTTTATACTTCTGAGACTTCATGCATGCTGCGTCCTCTGTCTAGAATGTTATTCTTCATTTGTTTTTTGCTGGTTAACATATATATATATATATATTTTAATTTAATTTAATTTAATTTAATTTAGTTTATTTTTTTTTTTTTGAGACGGAGTCTCGCTCTGTCACTCAGGCTGGAGTTCAGTGGCATGATCTCGGCTCACCACAAGCTCCGCCTCCCAGGTTCACGCCATTCTCTTGCCTCAGCCTCCTGAGTAGCTGGGACTATAGGCGCCCACAACCATGCCTGGCTAATTTTTTCTATTTTTAGTAGAGACGGGGTTTCACCGTGTTAGCCAGGATGGTCTCGATCTCCTGACCTCGTGATCCGTCTGCCTCAGCCTCCCAAAGTGCTAGGATTACAGGAGTGAGCCACCATTCCTGGCCAACTTCTATATGTTTTTAAATACTTAGTTTTGTTGCTCCTTTCTTTAGGGAGCTTTACCTGATTACCCCAGGCCAACCCAGTTACTTCTTCTATGTCTTTCTTAGAAATCTAAGTTTACTACCAACATTTTAATATTCCACAACATATCTCTTCCACTAACCTGTAACCTCCTAGAAGAAAAAGACTGAATCTATGTTTGTTCCAGAACCTGTACATTTTGCAGCGTGGGGAAGTAGTTCAAAAATGTTTGGTCAAATGCACTGTTGTAAACATGGGAGTTTGCAACCGGATGTGAAAAAAATATCTAGACTGCCTGGCTAAAACCTTCATTTTATTCATGAAGAAACTGAGTCCTAGATGATTTTATGACTTTGCCCAATGTTTTTACTAACGCTGTAAGCTACAATTCACCCCACTGTGTCTTGTCCTTAGCTTCCCTCCCTGGGATACCCAAATTCAAGAGCAACTGACTCACAAGTTCATAGGAGAATATAGCTATGGAACAAGAGATAAAAATTAACATAATGAAAATGGGTACTGGAATATTTCCACCCCAGCTCATATTCCAAAAATGAACATAGGCTAAGGCCTAGTGAATAAGCCTTCTTGTAACTTATCAAGTAAGCCTCCTTCTGTCTATACCCCACAATAGCCATCACAGGTCTTAACTGAGGCTATGTCTTGATGTTTTTCTTTAAAGTCTCATCCATTGTTCATCTTCTCTTGTTATGGGGGCTTGAATCCTTGTGATATATAGCCAATTAGCACTAAATGTTTTGATCTGGATAAAAATTCTGCTGATATTAACTACTAGGTAACCTTGAGGTTACTTCAAGTTCAAATATTCTAACTCTGACTATCCAACCACACCCCAATCCTAAATGGAAAGTTGTAAAATGTTTTAGTAGAAAAGAATGAAAGATGTTATTGAGTATAGAATTAATCATTAAAAAGGGACCACTCAAAAGGAAATTAAAGGGCAAAAATGATGAGCAAGGCAAGTTTAAAAAAACCCAATCCTTAAAGGTGTATGTTGCTTAAGCTTGTTATTCAGAAAAGTTAGAGATAATTTATTTTTCCAAACTGAGACATTTTTGAGAATGGAAAAGAGGACTACTAATAAAAGCACAAGCACAAACCAGGACTGCCTTCGCAAAATCAGAACAAACGGTTACCCAAAAAAGCTCACCTCTGATCAGTTGTAGTTTCATTGCTTCAAGAATGTTCTCCTAGATAAGCCATGTGCCCAACAGTTGGGCTGAGAGTGTCAGATGTGCTTCTGATCTGGTTTTCTATCTCTTCCCATCCATTCTGATCCTGATGCTTCATTTCACCAAACTCCACTCTTGCAGCTTCCCATTTGCCTTGCCTTTCCCATTGGAAAGACATATTTGACTTTCTTAGATCTCTCTTCTTGGCTGCATGTGACTTAACTCTTCCATTTGTTATATGATTTCTGACTCCAGTGTTTTTCACACTATTTTTGGTGGCATTCTAGGTTTCAGGGGTTCAATAAATGTGTGATTTTCCTTTAAGTTTTTAAAGATATATTGCCTACCCGTAATTATTTTGGCTGACACAGGGGATGAGAAAGGCTGTGTGGGAAGATAGCTTGCTCCCATCTTCCATTAGAGCAGCTCTCCCTTCTTCCTCTGGCTGTGATTCATATCAGGCCATTGTGGGCACCCATTTCCAATGCTTCCAGCCTGTGCCCAAGCTCCTGGGTGTCAGGAGGCAAGGAACCCAGGCTTGGGCCTATGTTGCAACTGCATTATGATGAGTATCCATCACGCCCTGAGCCTTACTCAATGCTTTAGGGAGGATAACCCTGCTTTTACCTGTTTTAAATATTTTGCTTGAAAAGACTTTAACCATTAAATTTGCTTAAAAACCATGACTCTAGCTTATACAACAGTAACTGACTTTCCTTTGTTTTAGCTCCCAGGTTGCTGTGTCTATGCCTGTGGTGGGCAGCTTCTGAAATAGCTTCCAGTGATCCCTGCTTCTGGTATTTACAATCTTGTGTATTCCCTCTCTGTTAGTGTGGGATGGACCTAGTTGTTTGCTTTTAACAGATAGAATACTATAGCAAAGGTAATACGGTGTTACTTCCAAGATTAAGGTGCAAAAGCTTGAGTTACTTGAGTCTTGCTAGCACTCTCTTTTCCTCTCCCTTGCTCTGATGAAGCCAGTTCCTATATTGTGAGCTTCCCTACAAAGGAAACCTCATGGAAAGGAACAAAGAGAAGCCTCAGACCAACAACTCATGAGGAATTGAGACCCTAAGTCCAACAGCCTATGAAGAACTGAATCCTGCCAACAAGATGAGTGAGCTTAGAAGTGAACCTGTCCCCAGGTAAGCCTTGAGATGACTTCAGCCTTGTAAGAAGCCTAGAACCAGAGGATCCCCCTATGCTGTTCCCACAGTCTTGATCCAAAGAGGCTATGAGATAATAAATGTTTGAAGCCACTAAGTTTTGGAGAAATTTGTTATACAGCAACAGATAACTAATACAGTGTCTCGTCCGAAAGGTCAATTTCAGCCTCAGCCTTGCCCCATTTTCCTTTGGCCTCAGGGGAATGAACAAGTCACAAACATCACACAGACTTCAGAGAACGAAGACTGTAACTTGTTCTTTTAAATCCTAGATCCAGGCCTGGTTCTGTATCCTGTTATTTACATGCAGAACTCCAGTAGTTCCATCAAACCCTTGCTCAAGTATTCAAATGAATTCAAAACTACTGCTTGGGAAGACAACAACAACAACAACACTCTCTCCTTTTGCAGTGTACTGCCTGTATACAAGTCAGACAACAACTTACAATTTTTAATTTCCTTAGTAAAATAATAGTGATGTTGTCTTCATTTAAGAACTTAAGCTTCTCCTTGCAATCAGCAGCACAGGGAACTTGCATGGAAGGACTTCAGTCTGAATTTGACTGTTATACATTGTTCATTAAAAGTCCTGCTGAGAAAATTGGTGTGTCAGTATTAGAGAAGTTGAACCCTATTTTTATCAGATTTTTAAGGCTTTATCATGATATTGAAGCACACCATGAGCTAGCCACCTACTGGAATGTATTACTCTGATTCTCTATATAAGTGCCTTGACCAAATTGCAATTTATATTTACTCCTTAAACTGTGAAATAAAGAATGGCCATAAATAGAGCTATAGTGATAAGCTTTTGTAAAATCATTTTCAAAGACACCATCAGTTTGTTGTTCACTGTACGTGCATCATGATAAATTTTTTTCAGTTCAAAACTATGAAATAGACATATTTCCCCGGTAAACTGGTATATGTGCTTTTTACTAAACAATAAGAATGATGTAACATACTAACTTTCTCGTTTTGCTTTGGCTGCTGCGAAATATGGTTATTTTCTGAGAAGTTATGGTAGCTACCCTTAGCCTAAGTTTGTTACTGTATCTCTTTTCGGCTCCACATTTTAGTATTTGTTTAATTAATTTTCTTTTTATTTGTTTGGGTTTTATATTGTTTTGGTGCCTTTATATTTCAAACTATCACATTTTAGGAAGTTAGGTGGTGAAATGCTGCCCCTTTAACATTTGAAAAAAGGTCTAAGTTAAACAATAAATCTTTCTTTTTTTTTACTTTAATAGTAAAAACCTTTTCACAGAGGATTGAAAACTTTTTTAGAATTTTGTAACTTAATAGGTAGATATATCTTATTTTTTATTTATTTATTTATTTATTTATTTATTTTTTTGAGGCGGACTCTCTCTCCGTTGCCCAGGCTGGAGTGCAGTGGCGCGATCTCGGCTCACTGCAAGCTCCGCCTCCCGGGTTCACGCCATTCTCCTGCCTCAGCCTCCCGAGTAGCTGGGACTACAGGCGACCGCCATGACGCCCGGCTAAATTTTTGTGTTTTTAGTAGAGACGGGGTTTCACCGTGTTAGCCAGGATGGTCTCGATTTCCTGACCTCGGGATCCACCCGCCTCGGCCTCCCAAAGTGCTGGGATTACAGGTGTGAGCCACCGCGCCCGGCAGATATATCTTATTTTTAAAATCCACATTATTGAGTAAAATCTCACAGTGGAAGGCATGAGATCCTGGCTTTGCCAGGCAAAATTGGACCTGGAAGTAAGCCAAGTGAGGCTGCAGCAGCGGAGGGTCAACCTTCTGCACAGAGCAGCAGTGGAAGTGGTCATCTTTGGAGGAAAACATGGAGGCTGCTGTGTCCAGTTCTGAATCTGTGGTCAGTATTGTTCTTGTTTGGGTAACTCCTTAGTTTGTACCTCTGGCCCTCTCAGGGTTTCTGTGAGCCACCTAGTATCCTGTAACAAAAGCTTTTTATCTGCTTATTGTGTGCAACTAAGAAACCTGAGAAACACAGGCTTACAAACACACCTTCAGGGGCTAGTCAAATAACAAAAAAGACTGATGTGGGTCAGTATAAGAGCCAGGGAACAGTGAGTCAGAGGGGAGAAGGGATGTATATGCCCCTCCTAATGGGATTCAAATTCAACTTTTCTAAAACATTCTTTTCATCAAAACTAACTTGGTAACATCTGCGCTCTAAATTTAGCTTATGGGGCTCCCAGTTTGTGATCTTTGACACTGAAATTTATTTAATGGAGTTTTTTTTTTTTTAATTTGAATTTAGGGAATTTCTTGCTTGCCTTTTTAAAAAATGAAGTTTACATTTTCCACCTAAATATTTTGCCATCTTAGCAACATGGTTGTGACTCTGTGGATGCCCTGGGGTTCCTAAGAAATTCTCTTATACTGATTTACCTTATGGTGAGGACAATCATGATCCAAAGTAAAGAGAAAGGAATAATCCTGGATTATGGATGCTGGATGCTGCTGGCCGATAGCAGCAACACTCTTTTTCAGCAAGTCCTCATTCCTTTATCACAGAGAATAGACTTCCAGGAAAACCCTGTGTTCTGTGTCTTTTAATGGCCCAAACAGTTCCTGACTTGTAACAGCTTTTAAAGCAGCCACAAAACTGGAAGCCTAGCTAACATTTTCAATCCTGGGATATAGCAGAAACGAAAGTTCTGTGGCAAGTGACGTGTCTGAAAATTGCACTGGAAAGAGTGATCATTAGAAGGACTGTTGGCCCGTTTCCAGAGTGGCAGGTGTCTGGGATAATGTTCAGGGGAAACTCATCTATTTCATCCTTCCCCTCAAGAGCTGGTTAGCTTTAGTCCTTGAAGCAGTGAGATTCAGCACCTAATTCTCGGTGTTTCATGCAGAGAGATGCAGTGCTTTAAGCCAACATTTCATTTGTGGTTTGAAAACTGTATTTGGATTGCATTCTGTTTTGTGATTCAAGTATACGTTGCCTCATTCCTTTTCACTGGAACGTCACATCTACGGGCCTCATTATCTCTAATAGACCTTTTAGCTCTCTCAGGGTTATGTGGTTTCAAAGTACTACAAACTCATTCATGTCATTCTAATTTAAACACGATGTTGTTATTCCTGCATCTATTTTATGAACTACCCTTCTGCTTCCTTTTCTACTTACTGGGTGTTATGGGAAGTGGAAGATAGCATTCCAATCAACTGTGGAGCTAAAAAGTCTGGGTAATTGCATTTGACAAATGTTGAAACCCTATCCTCCAAATACTTGCAACACTTTCCTTCCTGACACCGGCAATAATGAAAATGTCATGATGCTAATGAAGGATTTCTACTGTGGTCCCTTGAACATGGTCCAAATAATCATCGTCAGGCATACACCATTCAGATTTCTTGGTATAGTCTTATCCATCAACTGAAGTTAGGCCTCCATTTATTTCAGGATGACAAAGATATATTTTCTTCTAGACACTTATCCTGGAAGCTTTGAGAAAAGGCAAAAAAGAGGTTGACTGTGAAAATAAAATGATAATGGTTGTGTGTATAAGAAAGTCATCTTAATCTTATGTGTTTGCTTCTTAAAGCTCCCACAGACACAAGAAGAGAATGACAATTTGGGTTATTGTTTTTCAACAGAGAACGTGTCACAGCAGAATTGTAGATTAGCAGAGTTGGGAGAAAGGTTTAGAAATGATCTTGTCCCATGCCCTTTATTTGCAGGCAAGGCAATGTGGTTTAGAAAGTGGTAGCGAGTTGCCTCAGTAGGATATGAGGGTGAGGAAGGAGGAAGTTGATGGACAAGCAGATTCTCAGTTAGAACATAGCTTCCACCTTCCTGGAAGGGAGTGACAAACAGGTGAGATTAAGTGACCTTAGTGGAAAATATGAATCACCAGTGGCAGAATATTTTTTGAAATACATCTTGATTTATTTTCCTTCTTCATTTCTTCTCTCTCTACCTCTCTTCCTTCTTTCCTTACTTTCTTTTCTTATTCTTGTATTTACCCCTTGAACTTTTCTTCTATTAATTCTACCTTGTAATTTTAAACCAGAAGTAATTTTTGTCCTCTAGGGCACATTTAGAAATATCTGGAGACATTTTCAGTTGTTACAACTGGAAAGTTTGCAACTGGCATCTAGTGAATAGAGACCAGTGATGCTGCCAAATATACCACATGCATGAGATACCCCTGCCTGTGCCCACAACAAAGAATTTTCTGGTCCAGAATGTCAATAGTGCTAAGTGTGAAAATCCTGTCTGGGCTGATTCTTTTCAGCAAAGAGAAGAGACCAGAGAATCCTTGGAAGGGAAAAGGAGATATGATAAGGTACTTCTCAATTATAGAGAAGGACAATGGGAAACTACTTCAGTACTGAGAAGAGAAATCTGGGGAAAGAGTCTGAGAAAGGTGAGAGGTGAGAGTTGACGTTACCCTGTGAGCCTTCCACCTCCACTGGACCATACCTTGGAAGGAACAGAAATGCAACAGATAGCGAACTACCCACATCAGTTTGGAGTGTGGTAAAATCTTAGAGCAGGATTCCCATTTTTTGACCTCTTGGCCTTTGGCCTAGTTTAGAAGACTTCATACTCCTCAGAGAGAATCCAAATTCAGCTGGTGTCTTAGCTACTATGGACCTAAACCCAAGTTGTTAGTAGAAGTGGCGGAGGAAGATGCTCAGGCCAGGAAGACTGAGATAGTGCCCTTGGCTCTCCAGAGTCCACACTAGCATGGAGGAGGTCAGGAGATTACTGTGTGCCGCAGAGGGCTGCTATAGGTACTGGTTGAAGAGTTCCTCAGGGGTGTCTCTGAGTCAAGGAGTTAGAAGACTCTGAAGTGGAGAGCTGCGGGCAGACCACCATTGCTGAGCGTTCAGATCCAGACACAAGCCATCCCCGCACGCAGACCAATGGACCTTGACCACATAGAAGTGACACCAACCCACACATTCTGCGCAGCTGTGATGAGCCCTGAAGCCCATTGCAAGAAGTAGAGCACCACAACCCCCTGTTCCATCTCACCCCACCCCATGATATAACACGAGCATCACCTTCTATCTAATGTCTGGAGAAGAGAATGAGAACTGAAGGAGAAAGGAACCCAGAAAGGCCAATTACCTGAAAGAGATTATGTGTTAAACTAGAAGAGACCAGAAGCTTATAATTAGCAAGTACTTTTTACTGTCAGCAGTAATGAATGCTTAAGGGAAAATGAGAAATATAAAGTTAACTTCCCCCCATTTACATTCAACCTCACTACATTCTTATTCTGTGGCCATATGACCCCAGTATCTAGCACTAGTTTCTTTTTCAACACTCTTATCCACATCCATCATTTCCTCAGCCACATTCTGTCTATGATGGAGCATCTCACCTTTGAACAAACACCAGTTGCTAGGTTGGCTGCTCACCTGCCTTTGGTCTGTTTTTTCTTCTCCCATCTCTGTGGATATCCTCAGTGACAAAGGAGCTGTCTGTGTATTAAGATCACCTTGTCTTAGTGGAGAAATTTATCAGTGTCTTTTACATCCATGAGACCCGTGTCCTCTCTAAACACTGCATAGGAGATCCAGCTACATTCCTCAATACACCAGGGCCCCAGAAGGAAACATATGACACTCTTAAATGGGGAAATTGAGGCATGCTTAATAAAGGGTCTATTTGAAAAACTGTGGATAGGGTTAAAGGACATGAACAATAGGTGAAGACGTGTCTCAAAACCAGTAATGGTAGTCTGAAGGGGAAAGAGGAGGTGGTGTTATTGGAACCCAGAGACATATCTAGCTATAGAAATAACCTTTGGTAGAGGAAAAGAGTCACGGCCAATCTGTGGCCCAGCAGGGAAAAAAAAAATCAGTCAGGAAATACCTCGATCTCAGTCTCTTTATACGCTTTGATCTCTTGCTGGTAACTCTTTTTGGTCAACTGAACTGGAAACTAGGAGACAAGGGAGCTCCGTGGATGGAATTCATAGAAATCAGTGTCTGGGATGCAGGAGAAGGCTGCAGAGGGTGTCTTTAGGGACGAAATGAGAATATCCAAAACAACAATGTTTTTAGATGTTCTTTGGGTCTAACTTAGAGTTTGGGCTCTGCTGTGCATTAGAGCTTGAACAGTTTTTAATTTTTCTGTAAATTAGTTTCCTCTTCTGAATTATGGCAATATAAAAAACAGTACCTACCTCATTTAGTTGCTTTGGGGATTATGGGTAATCATACATGTAGCACACTCATAGCAGTACCAGGTGCACAGTAAGTGTTCAGAAAATGTTAGTGGCTTTTATTTTCCTGGTTCTTTGGTCTTTAGCAGGACAGGTAGCAGGGGTTCTGATTTCAGGATGCTGTACAGTCATTTGCTCCTCATGCGCAGGATGATGCCCTGCCAGGGAAATCCTGAATTTGAAGCAGAGAATTAGGTAGACTCTACCTTATAGTACTGCTGATTTCACACTTAGTTTATTTTGCTTAGATTATGAGTCTGCTTCTTCTTTCTTTAGAGGATGATTTTGAGAAACTGTTCTCCAGGAAAAAAAAAAATTGGTCACAATTACAGCAAAACTTTTATTGTTCTGTTGTAAATTAGGCGGCTTATTTTAGGTTCTCATAGCTCCTGTAGTGTTAGATTGGGTGACAGAATAATCACTAGACCCTTCACTTAATTCAGAAACAAAAGCTGGCCTGCACTCTCATTTGATGTAGTTCATGCTGTGGTGTGGCACCCAGATCATCCTGCCTGCTTCCAAGATGGACATGTCTATTTCCCAGTTATTGGAAATATTGGTAATTGACAGATTCCAATGACTTTCAAATTTTCCCCTGGCTGAAGAGAGTCACCTTGTCCATACCCAGTGGCTGGTCAATATGATTTATAAAGACCTGGCTGCCTTGCCTCAATTTGAGAAACTTTAAGGGGGTCAAACCTTCTCCTTTGCCCTCTGTGGGATCATCTGAAGCCTTTGTTGTGACTACATTGCAGTTTAACTTTCCCCCCCTGTACTGTCTTGCTTTCCTCACTCCCTCATGTGTATCAATCCCAGTTTTTATACTTTAACAAACTTCCTGCATGCAAATCTCCATCTTGTAGTCTGTTTCCAGAGAAATCTCACCTGCAACATTTGGGGTTAAGAGTTATTTTTTATAAACCTTTCTACAGACTGTTGTATTATCTGGAATGCTCCATAAGTGTTTATTGAGATGAACAATTGCACTTGAAAAGCTGACTCAATGGGACCCTAGATTTAGGGTGATGTGATTCTCACAAAGGTCACTATTTTAATCTTTAGGATTGATTTGGATAACTAGATTGGTTACGGATAGTCTTCTTTCCTCCCTCACTGTTCCATGTATGTTCTACAAATGCCACATTTTCCACCAGGAGGACCCCTTCTTCAGAGAGAGGAGAGCTGTACTTTAGTTTCATAACAGTTGGGTTTCCACAAAAGAATTGCCATTCCGAAGACCAATTTGACTTGGCATTTTTATTATGGAATTATATATTCCACTTAATCGGCCCATAGACAGTAAAGCTCCATTTTGTACCCTTCACAGTGAATCTTTGAGTCTGTGCCAGATTTTATAGTGTTAATGTATGCTCAGAGCTCCTTAGGCAGAAATGTGCACCAGAATGATACCCAAGACAGTAGTGCTGTTGCCTCATGGCCTGATGTGACTCGTTAAGACTCTTATTCTAGCACTGCTATGGGAGAGTCGTGTTTGAAATATGCTATTATGATTATGAGAAAATGTAGATCCATTAGCAAAATCTTCCTTCACAAATATCAATGTTTTGGTAGCTTTCAGCTGTCTGGGGGCATTGGGTTGACTTTGCTGAGTCAAAAGACACACTTCAGTTTTGCCAGCTGGTTGGAGCAGGTGTACCAGTAATGGCATTACCCACAGTGCATGCTTTGGAGTGCAAGCCATGGGCTCTGCTTTTAATGCTGCTAACTTGATTGCACTCCTGGCTTTTATGAAGATTTGCCAGGCTTTCAGGGCAGATTCTGTCCATGCATAAGTAGCTCAATAATGTTTTCTCATATTGCTAAAAGTTAGTTGCACTCTGATATTTCCATCATGGCCCCTGTGCCTGAATTCAAGTTCCTGCATCATAATCAAATTATATCATCCAGACTTTTAATTTAAGATCCACAGCTGTAACTAAGTTAGGAAGCAGTGTAGGGTTTACTGTGACAAAATTTTATTTACAGTGGGATTTGCTTGGAAGTCCAGACCTCAAAAGAGAATTATTCTATGGACCCCTACCAGAATGAAATTAATGAAGGTATTGAAAGCACTGATTAATCTGTAAAACATCAAGAATAGTGTTAAAAGCCAGATGGAAATAACTTCATCTGGTGAATGATGAGCTCCTGTGTGGTAGGCTGAAGTATGTGATGGAAGAAGCAAATGTATAACTACAATTCTAGATTAAGTCATCCTTAACAAAAAGGAGGGATTGGTGTAATATCTCAAAAACACTTAAGGCTTTCTTTCCTTTCCAATTTTGCTTTAAATTGAATTGTTGCCTACTTTAAGTTTTTGGTGAAACAGATGCACAGAGACACACAAATGGTTACATTTTAGAGAGGATATAGAAAATGGTTATTTTGAAATAGTTAACTTTGGACCTAATTGGGATCAGGTTTGAGAGAAATATTTACAAGAGAGGTTTGTGAAGAGAAAAAAATACAGTCAACTTCTAAGTGTAGAAGACCTGAGCAAACTTGAATTGTCCCCACATCTCTCAAAGGGAGAAATGCTTGATATCCATGGAGAGTTTGAGAAGTCCATTCAAATCTATACACTGTGACTAATATGGCCTATTAGGCAGGAGCACAGATAGATATTTCAGTTGTAGGAAAGACACATTCTCATGTAGAGTGAAAAGACTCACAGGAGAACTGTATATTATTTAAAAAGTTATATGTTCATCTAGAAACTGAACATGATACAATTTGCAAAAAAAGATGAAGAAATACATCATAGGCATACCTAAAATGAAATGCAAATATTCAGTTGTAAAACCCCTAAGAGTCATATTTAAGGAATCTGTGGTCATGGTTGACCAAAGGAGACAGGGAAGGGTGTGGACTGTCACTGGAACTGAGTCTCAGGCAGAATCAGGACTTGAGGACCTGACCTGGTTGCAGCTGCTAACTGCAGAGGTTCCAGCTGGGGACAAAGTGACATGTCCAAAGGGAGCACAATAACTAAAGTTTACAGTCTAGGCAACTAGTAAACACTGGCATGAAGAGATTACAGGGAGTCTAAGGAAAATTAATGAGGCATTAAATTGAGAGTGGGCCTCAGAGATGGTCAATTTAAGGTTAGGTGTTACTAGAAAGGCAGTTGTATCATAGAAAGCTATTCAGGGCCCCTGTCACAAGACTAGGCCTCATAGACAGACTCTAGTATGTCAGAGAGGACAAGCAAGAGCAACACAGAGCTCCAATTTTAGTACATATCTGGGAGAACCATGCAAGATTTAAATATAAGGACACTACTCTAGAATACAAGGCTGAATTCAGTTAGGAAGCTGTGGTTGAATGGTGGAGATATAATCACTTCCAAGATCAATGGGAGTCCACTTCTTCCATACTCAGGCACTCTTTGAACTAAATTTCTGTAGGTATGCTGGCTATTAATGGATGATTGCAGGAAGTCCTAACAATCAGCTAGTTCCAGTGGAATGGTTCATCTAATGGTTATCAAGTCACCAACTCAGTAATATAAGCAGATATAATCTGATTCTCACTATACCACTGACTCTTTCATCTTTTCCGTTGGTCCTTGGAATGTCTGGAGACTAATTTAGTTTGCTTCTGTTTTCATTATTCTTGCCAGTAGTGAATCACTTTGCTCCATCAGCAGCAGATTCTCTTTTAAAAGCAAATCAATGTATCTAATGGGTTTTCAGAATGGGTACTTATGATCAATGTGCATTATTTATCACAGAATTGCCTGTGTGCATATTTTTTTTCTTTAAACACTTTTAAGAAGGCAACACTCTAGGTATGCATATGGATAATATGCATAATAATCAGAAAATCAATAATTTATAAATAAAATACTAAATTAGCCTTGAAATTAAAAGAAACTCTCATCTTTCTCATCACTTGGGATGCTCTCTTATTGTTCTGGATGATTTCTAATAGATCAGTGATAAGATAAATGAAGACATCTATATATGCATCTATAGCATTATTTAATGATAGCTAATAATTGCAGCACAAATATAAACACACACACATGGAAAAGATTATAGAAATAAAAAATAAGTTAGAAACCATGTCAAAGCAAGCCAGAGTTAATGACACCGTGCAATAAATTTGTGCATGAGCTTCCTGGCTGTCAAGTCAAAAAAGGAGGTTATCTTTCTCTGATAAAAGCATGCAGGCAAACTTTTCCTGGCACTGAAATCAAGGTTGTATAGTGTGGTAGTTAAAACTGTGAGCTTAGAACTCAGTAGAAGTGGCTTTGAGTTCTAGCTCCCCCACTTATAAGTGTGGATCCTTGGGTTAATGATTTCAACTCTTTGAGTCTCAGTGTGTACACCAGAAAAATGCAAACAGCAATACCTCAGCCTAAAGGTAGCTGAGAAGTTTAAATTAGAAAACACATTTAAAGTACCTAAGGCAGTGCGTGCTACATAGTACCTGCTCAATAACTACTAGTCAAAACCCCACAATACACAGGGGCCATCCAAACCAGAAAATTCCCCTGCAGGTGAGACACCAATTTAGGGGAACATAGGAAAAGCCAAAGTATTTATTTAAAACAATAGTGAAAAGTTTATACACACAAAAAGTTTAATTCTTTTCCTCTTTCAATTTTTATAAAGGTAAGATGAATCCAAAGTGAGTATTCAAGGCTCATAATAATTAATATCTGTTGCTAGCTTTGCTTTGTACTCATTTCAGCACTGTACAGGAATAAAAATATTTGCTTGATCCGAACTACTGCTGAAGTGTCATAGTCTGAGAATAACACTTGGGCTTATTCATTACTTCAGAGGGTTAACTGAGAGATGTTTATAGTTAAGTGGCTTAAGTATTTTTAAATGTGTATCAGCTCCAAGTTAGAAGTTAGAAGCATGCTTAATGTTTGAGAAGCTATAAGACATCTTTTGTCTACTCTGCATAGACTGGAGCCTTGAATGGTGTGCTCGTTGTACATGTGGATATAAATACTGTGCTGGGTTGCTTGATGCCAACTCAGCATCTCTGCTACCTCCTTCTACAATCTGCTGCAGTTTGGAGAATCCAAGAGTGACATTTCCAGGCACCTTTTCCCATATGGCTCTGCCAATAGAACCAGTGTACTAGCTAGTGAGTGGCACACCATGTCAGATCTGGAAGGCACAACAAAGAAGGCTAGTATTCTCCTGGGGCAGTTGCAGCCACGACAGATGGTCACATGTGAGGTTTGAAGCAGCTTTCACCACACTGGTGCCCAAGCTGAGCGCATCAGTGGTACTGCTTGACCCTCACACTCCAAGCTCTTTCAGCAACTGGCTAAGCCTCTGAATCCCATATGTAAAACCTCTCATTGAATAAGAGCTTCAGTTTTCCTGACATGATCTTGATTATTTACACATACTCACACTCATTTATTGAGCACCTACTATATAACTTATTGTAATCATTTTACAACAATTATTTCATTTAAGCCTTCAACAGCCCTACTAATGCTTCCATTTTACAACTGAGGAAACAGAAACTCAGATAATTACAACCTCATTTAACCCCAGCAGCATTTTCCCATATATTCTGCCTTCATACTATTACTATTGATTATCTATGTTTCTTTCTAAAACAAATTATTTTATGTGTATAATAATGTCCTATTCTCTTTAGCCCACTCAAGGACACCACTATAGCAATTCCCGTTTCTCTCGTACATTATTTAATATCTCTTCTTTACTGGGTTATTCCTATGGGTACAAAAACATACTTTATTTCTTCCATCTTAATCCCACTGTTCTTTCCAGCTGTTACCCAGTTTCTCAGTTTCCTTGAATGTCAAATCAAAATTTTTCTTTGTCTCCAATACCTCTTCTCTAATTCTCTCTTAAACTCAATTTAACTTCTTGTCAAAGTTATCAATGACTTCCATTTTAAACCCAAAGATCAATTTGCAGCCCTCATCTCACTGACTTATCAGCAGCATTAGATTCAGTTGATTTCCCCCTCCTTGGCACACTTTTCTTCACCTGTCTCCCAGAGGCTGGCTAGATTATCTCCTGCTTCACAGATTGCTCCAACTCAGTCTCCTTTGCTGGTCTTGCCTCTTCTCTCAGGCCTATAAAGATTGGAATGTCTTAAGGATTGGTCCTCTTTTGTTTTCTTTCTTTCTGTACTCTCACTCCATTGGTAGCCTTATCCAGCCTCATCATCCATAATACGAGGTGTATGTCAGTGTTTAATAAATGTTTATCTCCAGTGCAGACTTCTCTCTTGAGCTTCAGCTGCTGGCCTCTAGTAGACGTACCAAGCTCAGTCTGTGCAAAATTACACTGCTATCTTCCCTTTCAAGCTTGCTTTTCTCAGCCTTCCTCATCTCAGTGGAAGGCAACTTTGTTTTTCCTGCTGTTCCATCAAAAGACATTGGAGTGATCTTGAACTCCACTCTTTTTCTCTCACCCATTATTTAATCTGTCAGAAAATCTAGTTATAATACCCTCAAAGTATACTAAGGATCGGGTTGTTTTTCAACATGCCTTCTACTACCTTCACTATGATCTTAGCCACCATCCTGTGTCACTGACTGATACAATGGAGTTTAACTGGTTTCCCTGTTTCCATTTTTTTTCGTGTGGTTGATTCTCATAGTCAGATTAACCTGTTTGACATAAGTCATATCATGCCATTTCTCCACACAAGACCTTAGAAGTGTTCTTTATTGTCCCCACAATGGCCTACAAGGCCCTACACGATATGGCCTCTTTTCCTTATTTAACTTATTTTCATCTTTTTCCTTTCACTCCACTTTAGCTACGTCAGCCTCCTTGCTGCTAGAAATGCACCTTAGGGTTTTGCGCTGGCTGTTCCTTCTGCATATAATGCCATCTCTGGATAACTGCATGGCTCACTTCTTTATCTCCTTCAGGTCTTAGCTTAAATGTCACCTCCTCAATAAGGCCCACTCTGACTACTATATTTTTATTTCCGTGTTGTTATTTTTTTCTATTTTTTATTTCAATAGTTTTTGGGGGAACAGGTGGTTTTTGGTTAAAGGGGTAAGTTCTTTAGTGGTGATTTCTGAGATTTTGGTGCACCCATCACCCGAGCAGTGTACACTGTTCCCAATGTGTAGTCTTTTATCCCTCACGCTCCTCCCACCCTCCCCAAGTCCCCAAAGTCCACTATATTATTCTTTTGCCTTTGCGTCCTCATAGCTTCGCTCCCACTTATAAGTGAGAATATACGATATTTGGTTTCCATTCCTGAATTACTTCATTTAGAATAATGGTCTCTAACTCCATCCAGGTTGTTGTAAATGAAATTATTTTATTCCTTTTTATGGCTGAGTAGTTTCTCATAGTATGTATATACCACATTTTCTTTATCCACTTGTTGGTTGATGGGCATTTAGGCTGTTCCATATTTTTGCAATTGCAAATTGCACTGCAAGTGTCTTTTTTCATATAAAGGCTTCTTTTCCTTTGGGTAGATACTTAGGAGTGGGATTGCTGTATCAAATGGTAGTTCTACTTTTAGTTCTGTAAGGAATCTCCATACTTTTTTTCATAGTGGTTGTACTAGTTTACATTCCCACTAGCAGTGTAAAAGTGTTCCCTTTTCACTACATCCATGCCAACATCTATTATTATTATTATTTAATTATGGCCATTCTTGCAGGAGTAAGGTGGTATCTCATTGTGGTTTTAATTTTAATATAAAATGATATATAATTTATTATTTATTCCTTCATTCCCCTTCCCTCCTTCCAAATGTAAGCTGCATGAGAGTAGGAATTTTTTTTTCCTTGCCGGTTTCATTCACAAGTATCCCAAGCTCTCCTAAAAGAGTACCTCGTGTATAGTGAATCATTAATAATTTTTTGTTGGATGAGTGATGGAAGTTAAGTTATTTGCCTAAGGTCAAAGGATGCAACCTCCCGTAGAGCTGACTTCAAAGACTGGGCTCTTTTCTGTATGTCAAATTACCTCTCGATGATCTATGTCTTTATAGTGTGTTTCGTGATCTCCTCACTCAATCTTTAAAAGTGATTTTGCTGTTAGGGAGTTTCACATCTGGTCCATATGGAACTCTTGGTTGCCTCTTCCCAAAGTTACTTAGAATTTTGGATGTCAGAAAGGAACTGACTAATTTTTTTTTCTCTTGTTGGAGTATCTACCCTGTGTAAGTAAACCAATAACACTCTAATCATGGCCCAAGCAGGCAGAACTGGAGAAGATGACCCCACTCTCATGAAGGTAGACCTGGACAAGACAATCCCAATCACTAGCTAAAGGAGAGGTCACTTCTATTTTAATTATTCTCAATTACGTTTTTATCCATGTTGACAAAGTTATTAGGTATAATTTGAGAAAATATCAAAATGGATGTGTGTTTCTGGGCACAGATGATTTCTTCTGTGAAGACTCTCCCATGTTAAGTGTGTCTGAGCTTTGTAGTATGATGACATTATGTGGGGTATATTCGTTTACAGTTTGTTTCCCCCACTAGACCAAAGCAAGTACTTGAAGGCCAGGACTACTTCTCATCTGCCGTTTAATTTAATTCTCACTTTATAACTCTGCAAGGTGTTTGCAAAATAACAGTCAATCCATGATATGTATGAGTGTTATGGAGATGGAAGAGGCAGCTCCCTTATGGGCTAGATAACAGGGAGAATTCAGACAGAAGTGGCACAGAGCTAATGGTCCAGAGTGTGAACTTTGGACTCAGGAGGGCCTAGTCCCAAGACTGCCTCAGATATTTACCAGCCTGATCTTCAGCCTCAGTTTATGCATCTGAATGCTGACTATATATATATATATATATATATATATATATATTTAAAGTGAGGACTAAATACAAAGTTTTACCATAAACCCTGAGTTATGTGCCTTATAAAATTAATTCATTATTCTTATATTTCTACAAGACAAATCTGATTGCCTCTCTCCCTTGCTAATAGCCCTCCTGTGGTGGGTTGGATTGTCCCCACCACCAAAAAAAGTTATCCAACTTCAAATGCCTGATACCTGTGAATGTGACATTATTTGAAAATAGGGTCCTTGCAGAGTAATTAAGGATCTTGAGATTAAATCATCCTGGATTTAGGGTGGTCTCTAAATCCAATGTCCAGTGTCCTTATAAGAAGACAGAGAAGGGAGATAAGGCTCAGAGACACAGATCACATGAAGGTGAACAGCAATTGGAATGATGCTGCCAGAGGTCAAGGAACACTGGGAGCCACCAGAAGCTGGAAAAAGCAAGGAAGGAATCTCCCCTGGAGACTTCAGAGGGAACATGGCCTTGCCAACTATTGGATTTTTGACTTCTGGCCTCCAGAACTGTGAGAGAATAAATTTCTATTGTTTTAAGCCATCAAGTTTGTGGTGATTTGTTATGGCAGACCTAGAAAACTAATACCTCTCCCCATAACCACCACAGAATCAATTCTAACTCCTTAACTCAGCATACAAAGCACTGTTTAGCTCATCTTATCCGTGCCTGTATCTCCAGCCTCTTCTTTTACCGCATTCATTTTTCTATTAACTCTTAATCTTTGTCTCCCCCTACACTGATCCTTCTGCTTGGAATGCCATTCCCACCCTTCATTGCATTGATAACTCTTGGTCCTTCTTAGAAACCCAACTCAAGTGTCATTTCCTCTAGATCCACCCTGTCTATATGGTAGCCACTAGTCACATGTGACTGTTGAGTACTTGAAATGTGGCTTGTACATGAAGGAGCTGATTTTAAAATTGCATTCACTTTTAGTTTAAATTTAAAAGCTGAAGCACTATTAATTTTTAAAAATCTTTTCATGTAGAAATGATACTATGTTAGATATTAATTTAAAAAATAATATTGAAATTAATTTCGTTTGTTTCTTTTTCTCTTTCTTAACAAGGCTAGTAGAATATTTATAATTCCATATGTGGCTGATACCTATAGGTTTGCATTGAGCTTATTGAGCCTATTCTCTGTTACTAAGCACCAGCACACATATACCTCATTATATGGAAATAGTACTTTATGTATCAGCCTCCTCCATTAGGAAAGTGTTTTTTTTTTTTTTTTTTTTTTTTTTGAGATGGAGTCTCACTCTGTTGCCCAGGCTGGAGTGCAGTGGTGCAATTTTGGCTCACGCTCACTGCACCCTCTGCCTCCTGGGTTCAAGCAATTCTCTGTGCCTCAGCCTTCCGAGTAGCTGGGATTACAGGCACCCACCACCACGTCTCGCTAATTTTTATATTTTTAGTAGAGACGGAGTTTCTCCATGTTGGCCAGGCTGGTCTCGAACTCCTGACCTCAGGTGATCTGCCGGCCTCGGCCTCCCAAAGTGCTGGGATTACAGGAGTGAGCCACCTCACCTGGCTAGGAAGTTTTAGATGGTGGGAATGTAACTCATTTTCTTTTTGTACCCCTGTGCCTAGCTCAGTACTTGGTATAGAGGAAGTGCTCAGTAAAGCTTGGCAGAAAATAGCTTTAGATGAGCTGCCCATTCTTGGAACCCCTGTAGCATGCCTTTAGTAAATCAGCCATCCCCTGAATCATAGTTGTTGGTTTGGTGGTCTGCCTGATGAGACTGGGCCACAGGAGTACAGAGGGCATGTCTTCTCTGCCTTTGCATCCTTGTTGTCTGGTGCGTAGAACTGCTGAATACCAATCTGGATGGTATGAGTTTCCATTGGGTGAGTATTGTGACAAAAATATCTTTCCTCTGACTTCAACCTACTCGCTACAGTTTAAGCAGTCTGTCTTTGAGGCTGGCCTCTGGCGATGAAGAGCAGCTCTTCAATCATGACCATCTCCCCACTGATTCCCTTGAGTTCCCTCTTTCCCTTCTCATCTTCTTGGTTGCTCCCTTGTGGATTCAGCAGCGGCACACAGTGCTCTGGGATGAGTCCTGCTAGTGCTGATGCACCCTATTGTCTGCCACTTGTGTAAAATCCCTATTTCCTGACTCATTTCCAGTCTCGGATTGATTAGGTGGCAAGAGTAGAGTCTGTGTGGCGATAAAGAAGCTTTTGTGGGTGAGTTGGTCCAAACCAGCCATCCAGCCTTTAGTTTCACATGCCTCCTGCTTGGATGTTATGACTTAAACATAAAGATTCTCTTGATCTATCAGCTCAACCAACACTTGAGAGTAAAGACTTTCATTCATTCAGTAAACATTTATGAATGAGGCAATGGGTTGTGAAAGCTGCTAGGCACTAGGGTTGAGATGGGAGGCACAGGGTGAATGAGTCATATTTGCTGACCTCAGTTCGTCTGAATTCTAGGGGAGGTGATAGGTCTGCAGTCAGTGCAATGGGTGCTGTGATAGAGGGAAACACAGAGGGTCAGAGAGGCCCACAGGCAGGGCAGCTCATCCATTCTCCACTAAGCATCAGAATCAGAGAGACCTGAGTTTGAAATCTGATTCTGTCCCTTACTAATGGTGTGATCTTTTAAAAAAAAATTTTGAACTTTAGTTTTCTTATCCGCAGTAACAGGAGATGTTATCTTTATCTGTAAGATTGTATTGAGGATTATGTGGAATGATTTGCACAGTATGTTTATAATCATGACCACTTCCAGTATTCAACAAATGGCTATTATTATTATTTCCTTATATTTGTCATGCCTGTGATGTCTGGCTTCTGAGACAATGGCCCTCTCTTTCCTTCTTGGCATATATTAACAACTATGGGTTTTGCAATCAAAAGAACAGTGTCCAAGACCCAATGATACCCAGGACACCAAACCCTTTTTGCAGCCACATTGGTTGACTTGCTTTTCCCAGTATGTTCGATAAAATCATACCAAGAACTGTATCTCACACATTCCTTTGCTTGGAATTCCCGTCCCTGTCTTCTCCATCTACTGTATTAAAATCTTATGTGGCCATGAGGCTGTCTCAGGAAGCCTGTCCCTCCCACCACTGTCCACAGCAGCTTGTCCCTTCCGGGAGTTTCTGCAGCAGTCCTGGTGCTTCAGGGGGTGCCCCCTTGTGGCAGCCTCCTTATCACAACTTCTCATTTTCCTCCAATCCTGTGAAGGAATTTTGCTTTATACATATTCTGTATTCTTACCACCATTTTCAATGAATAGATCATTAATAAACAGTTGTTCCTTAAGGGAGAATCTAACACACATTCTGCAATGTTTTACCCTGTGTCTGTTGGGAATAATTTTGGCTGCAAGTAAAAGAAAAAGTGACTTAACCCAAACGGTTAAAAAACTAAACCCCCCACCCCCTCAAAATGGTTAAAAAACCAAAGGGTTCTTGTTTAAACAAGAAGAAGCCTGGAGGGAGGCAGTGTTAGTGTTCATTTCTTAGCTCTGTGATGTTAAGGTGTTTCGTTGGGTTGGCATCTCTATAATTCTCCTGGCTTGTCATATTTCTCATGCTTACCAGATTTCTTCTGCAGCCCCAAAACCCTCTTCTTTATGCAATTATGTCCAGAGGATAAGGTAGGAAAATATAGAAAAGAGAGAGAGAGAAAGAGAAAGAGACAGAGGTCTTACTGAGGGTCATTTTCCTCTCTTTATCAGGGAGGGAAAAGCTATCTCAGAAATCTCCTTATGTCTATTGGCAGGCACTGAGCTCCATGGAACCCTTAACTGTAAGGAAGGTTGAAAATGCAAGTAAGTGCCTGCCTTTTAAAATTTCTACAGTAAGAGAAGGTCCAGGGTCAAGGGTGCTGGCAGTGGGTGTTAGGGGCTAAGCGAGAGTTCTTCCATGTGTCCTCAGTATAGAGTTGACATAAATTAGGATCATAGACATCATTACACATTGAGGGAGAGCTTATAGAAAGAAACACCAGGCAGTGGAAACTAGCAAGCTTCTGGGAGTAGAATATGGAGGCCAACTGCATCCGTTCAGAGGAAGGCTTAGACTTTTTTTTTTTTTTTTGAGACGGAGTCTCACTCTGTCGCCCAGGCTGGAGTGCAGTGGTGCGATCTCAGCTCACTGCAACCTCTGCCCTCCAGGTTCAAGCAATTCTCCTGCCTCAGCCTCCTGAGTAGCTGGGATTACAGGCGCCTGCCACCACGCCTGGCTAATTTTTGTAGTTTTAGTAGAGTCGCGGTTTCACCATCTTGGCCAGGCTGGTCTTGAACTCCTGACCTCGTGATCCACCTGTCTTGGCCTCCCAAAGTGCTGAGACTATAGGCATGAGCCACCGCATTTGGCCGACTTCGACATTTTAAGACTACGTGAGAATGGATGCCACTCGGATAACCCAAGTTAGGGAATGCACGGTTTGGGGAGAGGGAATGGTTCTGGGAGAATGATGAAGAGATAGGTTTGGTATGAGTTTTGGAGCTTGGATCAAAGCAAGATGTAGGAGCAAGAGTAGTTGCTGCTGGAGTAGAGGTGGGTTGGTGAAGCAGATTGGGGGATATTGGATGAAATGTTCCCTTGAGTATTACCTTTGGTTTGTTTTCATAAAAGCTAACCCAGAGACAAGGATTTGGGTGTAAATACTTTCTTTGGGAGATGTTTGGGAGCCTGTGGCAGAAGTGAAGAAAGGCAATAAGGAAGGGAAAAAGCTAATAAAGGATGAATTAATGAACATATCACCACCATGGGCAGTTGAAACTTTATCACACTGTGGATCCCTGAAAAATTATTGTAAAATATACTCCAGAATTGTCCTTCCAATGAGATGAAGAAATTGAAATATCTATGTACCATTTTCCATCTTTCATTGGTGGGGTCAATTCTGTCAGCATTACCTCCCTGAAACTTTTGACCTATATTACCATGTGGGGTTGAGCATGGCTCCACAACCAGAAGATGATATAGGGTGCCATTGGAAAGTATGCGAATTGTGTGCAATTGAAAGGGGCTGAGATGCCATTGGGAGGGCACCCACCATTTCTGATACTGGTAGCATCTCTTGGTGATCTAAAAGGGAATAAGAAAGGAGGTACAACAGCTCATCTACTGCAGGCACAGAGAAGATAGTTCAGCACCCACCATGAGGATGGAAGGCAGTATAACCAGCTACTATCTTTTCAGTGACACTCTGAATAAATGGTTCTCTATGCAGACACCTATAGGCACATCTTGAATAGCTATGTGTACTTGGAATGAAATAAGAGCTGCAAAATTCTCCTTGAAGTTTAAGTATCTATAAGTTTCCCTTAGGAACAATGCTAGATACTTTTACAGTCCCCTCTTAGTAAAATCAGTCAGCCTAGAGTCCTGCTCAAGACATGATTTCCAAGACCAGGGGTGGGTGAGAACACATAGTTGGGCCAGCCACCTGTGGTATGAGCTGGTGTGAAAAAACAAGAGGGGAGATCAGATAACTCTCCTGAGAATTTAAGTTTGAAACTTGGAAAATCTGTTAGTTTAAGTCAGTTTCTGCCATCATTGAAGCTGAAGTGGAAAAAGAGTCCTAATAATCCATATATATTTATCTTCCAATAAATAAACACCCTCCATTTTTAAGTTAACTTGAGAGGGTCTCTGATGCTTGTTAACTAAAAGAACCTAAAAGGAAACATGAATGTGGATTCATTTCCATTTAGATAGTTGATCATGGGGATATATTGATTTCTTTACCTTGAGATATTCCCTTTCTCTCTCTCTCACACACACACAGACACAGACACACACACACACACACACACACACACACAGACACACAGACACCCCCCCCCCCACCGGAGAGATAAAATGAATCAATTGAGTTGGGTTAAGAGTATTGTAAAGAAATTCTTTTTTTTCTATCTTTCATTTTGTACTTAAAGACATTCAAGATTCAAATATTTATTGGCTGTCTCCTTGAACATTTTGAACCTGCTCTATCTACCCACCTGCCCTCTGTTTTTAGCCTTCACAGGTCTTAAGACTTTGTCTTTTGTGCAAGTTCTTCTGGATTGATATTTCTTGGTTTTCTAGGACAGTCTTGATTTCAACTATTCTGTCCCGTTGTCTCCATATACTATCAATGTCCCAGAACTGCCAATATTTTGGCATTTAAACTATATCTCTCAGACAGCCTAATTTCCAGAAGTGGAAAAAAGTTCTTTGTTAGATTTTGTGTCCTGATATTTGGTCTGGAAGATAAGGTCATCATTGCCTTATTCTACTATTCTTTCAGGTCTTAAAATTTGTGAGTTGTCACTTGCTTCTCCTTGAGGAGGTATAACTTATGCAGCCTTCATCATTGAAGCCTTGCATTATATGAAATGAGACATGTATCAGACTTTATTATTTTCATGCTTCCTTGGAAAACCTATTACTGGGGATCAGCACATCCTGTGGAATATTCAGTGGAGGAGAAGATAAAATGTGGACATCAGTCCTCTGGAGCTGAGTGAGCTCCCTGCCCCACACCAGTGAGGATTGGATGGGAGGATGAAGCTGAGTTAAGAGTGCTATACCATTCTAAAGACATGCAAATCTAATTCTTCTTCTCTCAAAAACATTTTGTATTTGCTTTCTATGGCCCTTAGAGATAGAGCAATTATTCTTACTAACTGAATGGTCAGAAAAAAAGATGTATTTCAGTATGACTGCTATGCCCCTATGGTACTCATTGCCCTTGTTGAGCTATCTTGTCCTAATTGACTTTATCCATGACTAGACTCTGAGGTTCATGAGGGTGACGGATTGTGGTCTTCCTGCATGCTTAGCTTGGTCCTGATTTGTAGTGGGTGATAAATATAAATGTAAAATACATGCAGGAGTGTGTTCTCAGAGGCAGCACTCTCAGGAGTGCGCTGGATTAGTGTAATTGTTATTGAATTTTATGTCATAGATTCTTAAATTTTTTTCGTCTCTGCTATTTCTGAAGAGTTGCAGACATATGATGCTTGATTAATTTAAGCAAAATTAATGATCAGGACCATCTTGTTGTCATAATTATTCTCTTTTTAAATGTTTACGCTGATAATGAGGATGAAAGTTTATTTACTTATGGGTTGAAGTTGGCAGTTGAAAAAACAGGAAGTAAATTAGTTTATTAATTTATTAATTAGACTTCTATAGTCATTTTAAACAATTGCTCATTTGGCTCTTTTCTTATTAATTAGTTTCCTGATTGTTTGTTAAATAATAATGTATATGTAAGTTCAACATTTCTTTCATTTTACCCTTGTTTCTAAAATCCAGTCTTAAAAATGGGAATGGTAATAACTCAACTTTTGCTTAGATAGCTAATAGAATATTGAAATAATAAATGAGAAACTAATCATCCAAGGAGATTCAGCATAGTGAAGATGATGATAATAACTGCAAAAATGATAGCTATTTTATTGAGAGATAAATATGTCAAATATTATCATAAACTGTTTGCACGTAAAACTAATATAGCTCTTGCACAACTGATGTTACAGATGAGGAGAAGGCACAGAGTGATTAACTTGCCCAAGGTCCTACACAGAGGTAGTAGACTGAGGAGTAGAGATTGAGATGCTACAATTGTGAATCATAAGGAGAATCACTTGGGTTTCAGTTCTAAGAAAGGGAACCAGTGGTTTGGAGATGGAGAAATTTTATTTAAAAAGTTTCACTTCTTATAAGATGCAAGATCCTATAAGTTGTCTGAACTTCAAGATGGCAATCTACTTGGCTATGGATTTTTCAAGACTTGTCTTTGAAATTAGATTGATAGTGAGAGGCTTCGTGCCTAAAAGGGACAGGTACATTTGTTCACGAGGTTGAAACTCCTGATTAGTGCAACCTTAGTATTTATGTGAGTCACACCTCCAGCAGTGAGTCCACATTGTTATCTATCTTAGCTTTTCCAAATTATGCTTGTGAACATTACTTACAAGGTATACGAGTGGGTGTTAGGTTCAAAATAAGGTTCCTTTGATCAAAGAAATTTGGAAGATTGTATCTAACAAAATGAAATTAGTTTCATGACACAGTATTCAGGGTTCTAAACTACATTGTGAGTGTCCAACGGGGACATAAAGTAGGTAGCATTTCTCAAACTTATTGATGGCCTTTCTCAATTTTTTTTTTTCTAGAGAAGCTTATGACACTCAATGGCTCACAGAGCAAACACGTTTTTGGAAATGCTCTTATTTCTACATTGTGGAAATGAGCATTTGTACCTATTTATATAAAGAAATACCATCTAGACACGTGTTATGTATAAGGAGGAAGAGAACTCAAAGAGTGTGTAAGGTAGTGTGCTCCAGTGGAAAGAGATAGAAGCTTATAAATTTCACCGTTTTCTTCTAGTTCTCCTTAATTTGCTGTGCAGTGCTGGATAGAAACATGACCATTGTGTATCTCTGTTTCCCTATTTAAAAATTAATGATGAAACAGGATGATAATGATGGGGAGAATGGGGAACAGGGGCGGGAAGAAAAGAAGAAAAGGTACTTGATGATTAGAAAAGGAAACATAGTATCAAGTAGTTAGGCAAAAGCAATACATTCAGATCTGTTGCACAGCATGGTAACTATAGTTAATGACAATGTATTGTATGTATGCTAAGAGTAGATTTTAAAGGTTTTTACCACAAAATAACGATGAGAAGTAATGGACATTTTAATTAGCTTGATTTTGCCATTCCACAGTGTATGCATATATCAAAACATCATGTTGTACATTGTAAATTTATACAATTTTTGTCAATAAAGATAAAAAAATTGACAGAACAAAAGTAGCTAATTGTCATCATATGTCCAGTATGTTCATTCACTTGTCATTCATTCATTCCTTCAACAGCTATTTTTTTTCTGTTTACTGTGTGCTAAGAATAGGAGGATGAATAAAACACATTTTCTGCCCTTTTCGACCTCTTAATCTGAGGGTGAGGGGAAATAAACAATAAAGAAGGCAACAAATAAACAAAAATGACACAACTAGCTGTGAAATTGAAAAGAAATAAACTTGAGTGAAGTGATGGGGCATAATAGAATTAATTTCAGCTTCATAAGATATAAGGACATGTTCTCTAAAGACCCAGAGGGGAGCAGGCCTCCCAATGGCCTCTTTGACAGGGGAGGATGATTGATTTCTCCCACCCCCACATAAACCTTCATGGGGCTTCCCTTGATAGCTTTAAAATAATCTATCATTTCATTGGTGAGTCATAAATGTAAGTGAAAAACTATGTTTATATTTGTGATAACTTCCTGCCCAGATGTGCCTTGAAATGTTTCCAATTCTAGCAAATGTCCTGATGTTCCATTATGATTTTCGTGTAGGTGGAGCAGAGGAGAGACCCAGTGCTGGATGCCAAAAAATTTGTGTCTCAGCTCTGCCACAAGTGGACTGAGCCATCTGGGCAATTCACTTGAACTTTCTCAGCTTTATTATTTTCCCTTTTGAAAAACGAGGGCATAGCATGCATTGTCCCCAGTGTTTTCTAGCTCTTAAATATCCATTCCAGGTTCCTTAGGCCCTTGGTCTTGTTCCACTCTTGTCTTCATCATTTCAGTTCTGATGTTGATGCTGCATCCTACTCTCTTCAACTGTCACTTGTGATTTAGCTCATTCTAGCAAGTTTATGAGCTTAAAGGAACCAGCAGGTCTCAGACTTCTATATCACACAAATAGAAATGTTAAGAAGTCATCCCCCATGCTAGCCATTTGACGCTTGTGAAAGGCTAATTTAATACAGGAAAGTTTAGGTAACTTCAGATGGAGGTGCCCATTTACTCACTGCCATGGGTCAGTGAGCTCAAGTTAATATCTACACTAATTGAATACATGAATCAGAGAAAATGATAATTTGTCACGAGTATGTGTGTGCTTAAAAAATGGGAATAATGAAAAACTAACAGAAGACAAATTGAGCTGTAAGAATTTTGTAAATGGAAATTTCTGCCCGAAAAAAAAGAGTACAAAATATATCGAGGAGCCTTGGAGACTCCTAGCCGAGCTTCTCATTTTTTCCTGGCTGGGCCGTTTTTCTTTTTAGGTATCGTTCGGTATCATAAATAAAATTGTCTCTGCTGGAAAGGCTCTGAAGACCTAGGGAGAAAGGGGAAACTGCTGGCTATGCCTAATCAGAATAAACGGATGGGGCTTACTCCTAGGAATTCTTCATTTTTAGACACTGGCGTGTGTGTGTGTGTGTGCGCGCGTGCGTGCACGTGTGCATGTGTGTGTGTGTTTGTGTGTGGTGTATGCACTCAAGTGCATGTTGCATTACCTGGCTGTACACTCCTGGCATGGCACCTGAAGACTCCAGCTCAGTTTTCTGGCAGGTTATTGTCATTCTTTGTCATTAATAGGAAAAATGTAGTGGACCTGGAGATGTTCTGCCAAGATTCCTCCTTTGATGAAGGACTTATTGTCCCAGCTGTTGGGACTGCCTCAGCTACAGAGGACCACCTCCCTCAGTGTCAATCCCTTTACTCAGGGTGGCCCACATCCGATGAATGATTGATGAAGGGGACAGTGTTCTGGCCTTCTTACCCCAGCTTAAGATAATGCTGAAGGGCTCCTGATGACTCCTCAGTTGGCAATACATTGTAGGGATGGCATTGCCGCCAACTTCTCCCTTGCCCAATTCTGCTTCTTTCCTCCCTCTCTCCCAGAGGTTGGTCCCACGGGCACTCCTTAATAAACATCCTGCAAAGCCAGTCTCCAACTTAGAGTTGCTTCTGGGAAACCTGTGACAGAAGACAATAATATGTTTGTGAAATGCAGATCGGATCCTGTTATTTTGTTGCTTAAAGTGTCTCTAGGTGGAAGTCCAAACTCCTTAGCAGGGTTTAAAGGTCCTTCAGGAACTGAGCCTTCCTCATCTTTTCACCTCCATCTCTCATTGCTGACAACTTGCACCCTGAGCTCCAGTTTGGCATCCTTCAAATGTCTCAAGCATTCCTATACTCCGAGACTTTATATATAAATAATATCTTTTTTTTTTTTGCCTTGCTCTTGCCTTCCTTGTTTTCTTGACAAACTTCTATCATTCTGTCAAGACACATCTTACATCACAATGACAGTTCACATTTATTGGGCCCTTCTGATGTGCTAGGGACTGTGACTGTGCAATGTGCATTTTTAATCCCTAGGCATTTATGAGGTAGATATTATCATCATTTCCATTTTGCTCATGAGAAAATAGGGTACAGAGAGTTTAAAAAACTTGCTTAAAGTCACAAAATTGGTACACAGTGGAGCCCAGACTCATGGAGGTAAATTTACCCTTATTCATTATACGAAACCACCCTCTATGTTTCTTGAGAGAAAGCACATTTTACATTTCTTTTTAAAAGGTCTTTTAAAAAGACTTTTTTATATTTAATTTCAACCATTTATAGAGACCTTACTTTCTTTTCAGCTTTATTGAAGTATAATTGATAAATAAAAATTATATATATTTAAGGTAACTTGGTGTTTTGGTATATGTATACCTGTGAAAGAATCACCACAATCAAGCTAATTTATATCCAGCACCTCACTTAGTTACCATTTTATTTTTCTGTTTTTCTTTTTACTGGTGAGAGCACTTAAGGTTTACCTGCTTAGCAAATTTCTAGTTTACAATGTAGTATTGTTAACTATAGTTACATTGGTGTACATGAAATCATCAGAACATATTCGTCTTGTAAAACGGAAAGTTTATACCCTTTACCAACATCTCCCCATTTTCCCTCCCTTCAGTCTCTGATAGCCACTGTTCTACTCCAGCTTCTGTGAGTTTGACTATTTTAGATTCCATATAGAAGTGAGATCATGCGGTATTTGTCTTTCTGTGTCTAGCTTATTTCAGTTAGCATAATGTCCTCCAGGTTAATAATGTTTTTGCAAATGGCAAAAATTTTTTCCTTTTTTGAGTCTGAATGATATCTCATTTTACATACATATACATGTATATCAATCTATATACCTATTTATGTCTGTACTGATCTATATATCACTATATAGAATATATCAGTACATCACTATGTAGAATATATCAATATATTTATATATTAGTAAATATATCAGTATATTTATATAGATATATAAATATGGTATATATAATATATATTATATGGATCTAGAGCTATATTAAATATGGTTATATCTATATATTGAATATATCATAAATATATACATATGTATAATATGTATATTGATATACAAATATACATGTATATCAATATACATGTGGATACGGATATAGATATAGACATATATGTAGAAATAGGTATATCTGTATATTGATATATAAATATATAGATATATTAATGTATGTAGACATAAATATATCTATATATAATATTGATATTATATAATGTAAATATATAGATGTACCTCTATGGATGTACCTATGCCTACATATACATGTATCAATCTACATATATTTATCAATTTGTATATCGATACAATAATATATCTATATATCATATATTGATCTATATACGTTTATATATCAATATCTGTGTCTCATATATTGATATATATCTACATATAAATATCTAATATATCTATATATCTCTCTATATAGGTATATCAAAGTATAGATATACCTATGTCTATATATATATATGTCTGTATCAGTATCTGTATGTGTATCACATTTTCTTTTTTTTTGTGATACTTTAAGTTCTGGGATCCATGTGCAGAACGTGTAGGTTTGTTACATAGGTATACATGTGCCATGGTGGTTTGCTGCACCCATCAACCCGTTATCTACATTAGGTATTTCTCCTAATGCTATCCCTTCTCTTGCCCCCCACCCGCCAACAAGCCCCAGTGTGTGATGTTCCCCTCCCTGTGTCCAAGTGTTCTCATTGTTCAACTCCCACTTATGAGTGAGAACATGCAGTGTTTGGTTTTCGGTTCCTGTGTTAGTTTGCTGAGAATGATGGTTTCCAGCTTCATCCATGTCCCTGCAAAGGACACGAACTCATTCTTTTTTATGGCTGTATAGTATTTCATGGTGTATATGTGCCACATTTTCTTTATCCAGTCTAACACTGATGGGCATTTGGGTTTTTCCAAGTCTTTGCTGTTGTGAATAGTGCTGCAATAAACATATGTGTGCAAGTGTCTTTATAGTGGAATGAGTTATAATCCTATGGATATATGCCCAGTAATGGGATTGCTGGGTCAAATGGCATTTCTTGTTCTAGATCCTTGAGGAATCACCACACTGTCTTCCACAATAGTTGAACTAATTTACACTCTTACCAACACTGTAAAAGCGTTCCTATTTCTCCACATCCTCTCCAGCATCTGTTGTTTCCTGACCTTTTAATGATCAACATTCTAATGGGTGTGAGATGGTATCTCATTGTTGTTTTGATTTGCATTTCTCTTATGACCAGTGATGATAAGCTTTTTTTTTTTCATTCATCCATTGACAGACATTTAGGTTGTTTCCATATCTCGGCCATTGTGAATAATACTGCAATGAACATGGAAGTAGAGATATCTTTTTTAGATACTGATATCATATTCTTTATATATATATCCAGAAATGGTATCAATGAATTTTTATTTTTTTGAGGAACCTCCTCCATACTGTTTTCCATATGGCTATACCAATTTTCATTCCCAGCAGCAGTGTACAAGTGTTCCCTTTTCTTTAATCATAGGCTAGGGCTGGAACATAGTAGAATTTTGAGGAACGTTTGCTGAATAAGTGAACAAACGCAATAATGGCTTCCCTCAGTCCCAGCCCCATCATGCTGAGTGAAGGAGGATGGACCCTTCTTGTCTTAAAATGATGTCTCTTGCTGAGTAGGCAGTGGTCTTCTCTGAAGTTTCTACTCCTGTCCATAGCTCCCAGCTGCCCATAGTTGGAGCTTTCTGTTAGTCTGTTTTGGTTAAGGATTCAGCAGTGACTTTTTCCTTCTCTGATGGTAGTTTCCCTGCACTGCATCTGGGATCAGAACCAGAACCTTCCAGAGCCATCTCTATACAGCAGCTTATAAGCATCTTCTTTGCTGAGTTTCCTAGTGGGATTCTAGAGCTGGGAGCATGAGTTTACATTCTGCTTTGCCATATTCTGATTTGATGCTTTCAAACTCAGTTTTTTTAATTGCAAGACAGGTGCAATCATAATTCACAGACTTTTGGTGAGGATTAAATTAGATAGTGTAGGTATCAAAGTTCTAAATACCAACAAATATTATTTATTGTTAAAATGTTTGTTCTAGTTGTCTTTCAGTTCAAAAGTTGTCACAGTCAAAACCCTCAGTCCCATCCCATGCCCCACTCCTCCTCCCTACTCCCAAGTCCCTCCTCATATTGTTCCAGTTTTCTTCTCTCATCAACTACCAAAGTAATTCATCCTCAACACATATGTTTCCTATGGTAAGAATCAATCCTCTCATCTAATTTGTATTCTGGACTTTGACTAACTGGATTCTTATGTCTTCCAGAAATGATAAAATATCAGCATCTGAAATCACAAACAAGATAAAGAAATTGAAACTCTGAGAAGCAGAGTGACTTGCCTAGAGGTCACACAGTAAGCTGAGGGTCCAAAATCCACTTCCAGGACTAGGACCCTGTTCCTTTGGGGTCTTACCTTCAGACTTACTTTTGCATTTTATGCATTGAAAGGGTTACAGAAGAGCTTCAGTGCTTTTTTGGGTGGCTTTCTTTGATTCTATAGGAAGCTTAGGTGGTCTTTTGACATGCCCCTAGGGCACTCTACACATGCGTGTAATGGCACTTCCACAATTGCAAGGAACTTCTGGATGGCTGTTTTCCCTAATAGACTTTAAGCTCCAAGAGTGCAGGGTCTGGGTCTGTCCCATTTACTATCCTATGTGCTTGATAGGGTGCTTGTCATATAGAAACTGGTCACTAATGTCTATGGGAATATGGTAAGTGGCCAATAAATACCTGAGACTGACGATCAACTGCAGAGTACATACTGCATTGTGAATCCTCCTCATTCTTCTCTAGTTGGACCCATCAGGAAAACAAAGACACGAGGCTGAGTGTTTACATTCTCAGGCCCCATCTGTTGCCCTCTCCCCTTCCTCCTGGGCATGAAGATCCAAATTTTCTCAGGTAATTTCCCAGTTAGATTCCTGAATTATTTCCTCTGTCACCCACCTTGTCTATTACCATTATCAGAGCCAGTAAGTGAAAGAAAAGAGATTGTGTCATCGGGTGACTTGGTAGTTTCCTTTCAGTCTTGAGATTCTATTATTCTCATCATTCATTCACTCTCATCATTCACACATGCAACAAATGTTTATTGAGCACCTACCATGTTCCAGTATGTTCCAGGCACTTAGGCACTAGGAGTACATTGGTGAACAAAACAAATACAAACCCCTGCCCCATTGAGCTTACATTCTAGTGGAGGGACATGGACACTACATATTCACATAAATTAAATAATAGTATTGCTGTGGAAGTAAATAAAAGTGTAGTAGCGAATAGGAATTCTGGGAGAATTGGGTGTTTTAATTTAAATATAATTATTTGTAATTTCAACTTTTACTATAGTTTAAGGGATACACATGCAGGTTTGTTACATGTTACATATTGCATGATGTTGAGGCTTATGGTACAACTGGTCTCATTACACAGGTGGTGAGCATAGTACCCAATATATGGTTTTTTAGCCCATGCCTGCCTCCCTCCTTCCCTCTCCTGTCTAGTAGTCGCCAGTGTTCCCCATCTTTATGTCTATGTGTATTCAATGTTTAGCTCCCACTTATATGTGAGAATATGTGGCATTTGTTTTTCTGTTTTTGCATTAATTTGCTTAGGATAATGGCCTCCAGCTCCATCCACGTTGCTGCAAAGTATATAATTTTATTCTTTTTGATTATTGCACAGTATTCTATGGTATATATGTAACACATTTTCTTTATCCAAGCCGCTGTTGAAGGGTACCTACCTATGTTGATTCCATGTCTTTGCTATTATAGCTAGCACTGCAATGAACACACAGGTGCATGTTTCTTTTTGATATAATAAATTATTTTCCTTTGGGTATATACCCAGTGGTGGGATTGCTAAGTTGAATGGTAGTTCTGTTTTCCGTTCTTTGAGAAATCTCCAAACTGCTTTCCACAGTGGCTGACCTAGTTTGCATTCCTACCAGCAATGAGTAAGTGTTCCCTTTTCTCTGCAACCTTGCCAGCAGCATCTGTTATTTTTTGACTTTTTAATAATCGCCACTCTGACTAGTGTGAGATGGTATCTCATTGCTGTTTGGTTTTCATTTCTCTGATGATTAATGATGTCAATCATTTTTTCATGTTTGTTGGCCACTTGTATGTCTTCTTTTGAGAAGTGTCTGTTCATTTCCTTTGCCTACTTTTTAATTAGTTAGTTTGTTTTTTGCTTGTTGATTTAAATTCCTTCTAGATTCTGGATATTAGACTTGTCAGATGTATAATTTGTGAATATTTTCTCCCATTCTGTAGTCTGTTTACTTTGTTGGTAATTTCTTTTGCTGTGCAGAAGCTCTTTAGTTTAATTAGGTCCTTTTTGTTTTTGTTGTAATTGCTTTTAGAGACATAGCCTTAAATTATTTGCCAAAGCCCATGTCGAGAAGGGAAATTCCTAGGTTATCTTCTAGGATTTTTATAGTTTAAGGTTTTACATTTAAGTCTTTAATCTATCTTGAGTTAATTTTTGTACATGTTGAGAGGTAGGAGTTCCAGTTTCATTCTTCTGCATATGGCTAGCTAGTCATCCCAGTATCATTTATTGAATAGGTAGTCCTTTCCCATTGCTTATTTTGGTCAGTTTTGTCAAAGATCGAATGGTTACAGGTATGTGACTTTATTTCTGTGCTCTTTATTCTGTTCCATTTTTCTATGTGTCTGTTTTTGTACCAGTACCATGCTGGCTTGGCTTCTTAGCCTTATAGTATAGTTTAATATCTGGCCATATGATGCTTGTGGCTTGTTCTTTTTGTTTAGGATTGCTTTGACTATTTGGATGCTTTTTTGATTCCATATTAATTTCAGAGTAGATTTTTCTAATTCTGTGAAAAATGACATTGGTATTTTGATAGGGATAGCATTGAATCTGTAAGTTGCTTTGGGCAGTATGACCATTTTAACAATATTGATTTTTCAAATCAGTGAGCATAGGATATTTTTCCATATATTTGTGTCATCTCTGATTTCTTTCAGCAGTGTTTTGTCATTCTCCTTGTAGAGATCTTTCACATCCTTGGTTACATAAATTCCTAGATACTTCATTTTTTCTGGCTATTGTAAATGGGATTGTGTTCTTAAGTTGGTTCTCAGCTAGAATGTCACTGATGTATAGAAATGCTACTAATTTTTGTACATTAATTTTATATCCTGAAACTTTACTGAATGTTTATCAGTTCCAGGAGCCTTTTGGGAGAATCTTTAGGGTTTTCTATATATAGAATTATATCATCAGCAAAGAGAGATAGTTTGACTTTTTATTTTCCTATTTGGATGACTTTTATTTCTTTCTCTGCCTGATTGCTCTGGCTAGGACTTCCTCTACTATGTTGAACAGGAGTGGTGAGAGTAGGCATCCTTGTCTTGTTCCAGTTCTCCAGGGAAATGGTACCAGCTTTTGCCTGTTCAGTATAATGTTGGTTGTGGATTTGTCATAGATGGCTCTTCGTATTTTGAAGTATGTTCCTTTGCTGCCTAGTCTGTTGAGGATTTTTATCATGATGGAATGTTGGATTTTATTGAAATATTTTTCTGCCTCTATGAGGTAATCATATGATTTTTATTTTTGATTCTGCTTGTGTGGTGAATCACATTTATTGATTTGTGTGTGTTGAATTAACCTTGCATCCTTGGAATAAAGCCTACTTGATCATGGTGAATTAACTTTTTGATGTGCTACAGGATTTTGTATGCTAGTATTTTTGGAGGATTTTTGTGTTTATCTTCATCATGGATATAGGCCTAAAGGTTTCTTTTTTTGTTGTGTCTCTGACAGATTTTGATATCAAGATGATGCTGGCTTCATAGATTGAATTAGGGAGAAGCCTCCTTTCCTAAATGTTTTGAGATAGTTTCAGTAGGATTCGTATCAATTATTTGCATGACTGGTAGAATTTGGCTGTGAATCTGTATTAGTTTGTTCTCATGCTGCTATAAATAAATTCCTGAGATTGGCTAATTAATACAGAAAAAGGGTTTAATTGCAGTTCCATGTGGCTGGGGAGGCCTCAGGAATGTTACAATCACGGCAGAACGGGAAGCAACAGATCTTCACATGGCGACAGGAGAGAGAAGAATGGGTGAAGGGGGAAAGCCCCTTATAAAATCTTCAGATCTCGTGAGAACTCACTCTCTATCATGAGAACAGCATAGGGGGACCATCACAATAATCTAATCACCTCCCACGAGTTCCGTCCCCCAACACGTGGGGATTACAATTCAGATTACAATTCAAGATGAGATTTGGGTGGGCACACAGAGCCAGACCATGTCAGAATCCATCTATTCCTGGGCTCTTTTAGGTTGGTAGGTTTTTAAAATTACTGATTCAATTTTGGAATATGTTATTTGTCTGTTCAGGTTTTCACTTTCTTCCTGGTTAAATCTTGGGAGGTTGTGTGTTTCCAGAAATTTATTAATTTCTTCTAGATTTTCTAATTTGTGTGCATAGAGGTGTTCATGGTAGTCTCTGAGGATGTCTTGTATTTCTGTGGGATCATTTGTAATGTCATCTTTGTTATTTCTGATTGAGCTTATTTGGATCCTTTTTCTTTTCTTTATTAATCTAGCTAGCGATCTATCAATCTTGTTTATTCCTTTGAAGAAACAATTCTTGGTTTCATTAATCTTTTGTGTGGACTTTTTGGTCTCCATTTCATTCAGTTCTTCTCTGATTTTATTTATTTCTTTTCTTCTACTATCTTTGGGGTTGGATCATTCTTGTTTTCCTAGATCTTCTCGGTGCAATGTTACGTCATTAATTTGAGATCTTTCTAACCTCTTCATGAAGGCATTTAGCACTATAAAGTTTCCTCTTAACACTGTTTTAGCTGCTTTCCAAAGATTTTGGTAAGTTGTCTCTCTATTTTCATTAATTTCAAGGACCTTTTTAATTTCTGCCCTAATTGTGTTGTTCACCCAATAGTTATTTATTACTATTTAATAAATAGTTATTTAGAAGCAAATTGTTTGTTTTCCATGTTCTTATACAGTTTTGAGAGATATTCTTGTTTTTTTTTGTTATTTGTTTTTTGTTTTTTTGTTTTTTCACTGTGGTCCAAGAGTGTGCTTAGTATGATTTAAATTTTTTTTTGAATTTATTGAGACTTGCCTTATGACCAAGCATATGGTCGATTTTAGACTATGTTCCATGTGTAGATGAAAAGAATGTATATTCTGTGGTTGTTGGATGGAATATTCTGTAGATGTCTATTAGGCCCAATTGGGCAAGTGTCAAGTTTAAGTTCAGAATATCTTTGTTAGTTTTCTTCCTCAATGATCTATTTGGCACTGTCAATTGGGTGCTGAAGTCCCCTATGTTATTGTGTGGCTGTCTGAATCTTTTTGCAGGTCAAAAACTTGTTATATATGTCTGGGTGCTCCAGTGTCAGGTGCATATATATTAGGATAGTAAACTCTTTTTGTCGAAATAAACCCTTTATCATTATGTAATGCCCTTCTTTGTTTTTCCTGATTGTCGTTGGTTTAAAGTCTGTTTTATCTGATATTAGAATCGTGACTCTTGCTTTTTTTTTGTTTTTTTTTTGTTTGCATGTTAGATCTTTCTCCATTCCCTTACTTCTAGCCCGTGGGTGTCATTACATGTGAGATGTGTCTCTTGAAGACAGCAGACAGTTGGGTCTTGTCTTTTTATACAGCTTGCCACTCTATGTCTTTTAAGATGGGTGTTTAGATCATTTACATTCAGGGTTAGTGTTAATATACAAGATTTTGATTTTGTTGTCATATTGCTGTTGTTTGTTTTGTAGACTTGCTTGTAAAATTGCTTCATATTGCCTGTGAGTGATGTGTATGAGTATTTTTTTTTGGTGTGTGTGGTAGCAGGTTTCAATGTTTTGTGTCCATGTTTACCTTCCTTTTAGGGCCTTTTGTATGGCTTGTTTGGTGGTAACAAATTCCCTTAGTGCTTGCTTGTTTGAGAAGGATTTTATATCTCCTTTGCTCAAGAAAGTTAGTTTAGTGGGATATGAGATTCTTGGGTGGAATTTCTTTTCTCTAAGAATGCTTAAACATGCCCCCAGTCTCTCCTAGTTTGTAAGGTTTCTGTTGAGAGGTCTGCTGCTTGCCTGATGAGGTTCCCTTTTTAGGTGACCTGACCTTTTCCTCTGGCTGCCTTCAATATTTTTTCTTTTGAATTCACCATGGCGAATTTGATAACTATATTCTTTGGGAGTGGTTGGCTTGTATAATATTTTGCAGTGGTTCTCTGTATTTCGTGATATGCCCTTCTCTCTAGCTAGATTAGGGAAATTTTCATGGACTATATTCTCAATTATGTTTTCCAGGTTTCTCTCTTTTTCTTTCAGAAATATTCATGAGTCATAGATTTGGTCTCTTTACATAATCTCATATTTCTCAGACATTTTGTTCATTTTTTAACATTATTTTTTCTTTGTTTTTGTCTGACTGAGTTGCTTCAAAGAACCAATCTTCAAGCTCTGAGATTCTTTCCTCAGCTTGGTCGATTCTGCTGTTTATGCTTCTGATTATATTATAAATGTTTTGAAGTAAATTCTTCAGTTCTAGAAGTTTATTCTGTTTTTTTTTCTTAAAATGATTATTTCATCTTTCAGCTCCCAGGTTGTTTAACTGTATTCCTTTTATTCCTTGGATTGGGTTTCAACTTTCTCCTTGATCTTGATGAACTTCCTTGCCATCCATATTCTGAATTCTGTGGCTGACATTTCAGTTATCTCAATCTGGTTAAGAACCATTTCTGGGGAACTAGTGTGTTCATTTGTAAGTAAGGGCACACAGTGGCGTTTTGAGTTGCTAGAGCTCTTGCACTGATTCTTTCTCATGTGCAAGGGCTAGTGTTTCTTTAACTGTGACGTAAGTTGAGTATAGTCAGTTGGCTTTGTTTCTGGATGCTTTCAGATGGCCAAGACTCTGTGCAGATCTTTTTTTTTTGTGGCTGATTTTTTTCCTTTAGTTTTCACAGGTGCTGTATATTGGCAAAATATTTTAGTGTTGTGATTTGGGCTGTTATTCAGTAGGTGGAAGTTAAGAGTTGTGGCCAGCAGATAGACTCTTAGCCCATGGATCTTTTACATTTTGGTGCATTTTGGCTATAGTGCTGTATGGGTATGAGGGAGAGAGATGACTCCCTCACCTGTTCTGCTCCTGGGTCTTGGAGGAGCCCCCTCCAATAACTGTTTTCATGCCAGCATTTTCTTTGTTAGGTGTTCTGGGCCACAAGGCTCCCTCAGGAAGGGGATATGGTTGGCAGACAGGCCATACCCTTCCCAGGCCTACCTGGTGCAGGGAGGCTTGTCCTACTCCCCTGCTGGCCTGTGAGAACTCAGGCATCTCAGCCCTCACAGTATTCTAAGAGTGAAGGCTCCCCACCTGCTTGGGCGCCAACCAAGCTAGCAAGTCCCACTCAGCTAGGAGTAGCAGGAGTGGGTGGTGTCATCTGATCCACCGTTTGAGTGCTTCCTAGGGGAACATGGGGCTGTGCCCACCCACAGAATTTTGCTAGAGGCAAGACTGTGTGCCGGAAACCCCAGCTGGTGTGTCCCACCAAGCAAGAAGCAATGAGGGTGGGTGAGGTCTCCTGTTCCACCATTCAGGTGCTTCCTGGGGGAACATGGAGCTGTGTCCCCTGGCAGAGTTCAGCCAGAAGCTGAGCTGCTGTGCTGGAAGCTAGCACCGAGCCTTGTCTGTCAGGGGGAATGGTCTAAACTTACTGCTTCCAGACACCATGACTATGGCCTCTATCATGGCTATGGCAGCTAGCACTGGGCTGGTCCAGGGTCCAAGGCCTGTGGGAGGTCCCCATGGACTTGAGTGTCACCTTTATAAAAACTCTAGGTGGCTCTTTGTATCAATCTAGAGGCCCAGGGGGCCAAGGTGATTCTCTCGTTTCCAGGATTGTACAGGTCCCTGTGGGAAGTGTGAATCCCCCAGGGTCTCTCACTCGTTCACCTTTTCTCCATGTTGGGGAGCTCCTTTTGGCTTCTTGTTGATCCCAGATGTGCTGCTGCCAAGCTTCACTGTTCTCTGTTCTCAGTGTCCCCTCACTTCCTTGATGGATCCCTAGGAGGTTTTTCAGACAATTGGCTTGTGGTGTCTGTGTTTACTCACCACTCTCTCTGTGAGAGCGGCACATACCAGTTACTTCTAGTCTGCCATCTTGACCCTCTCTTGCTTTAATTTTATATTATTAGGTATCTGCAAGTATTAGGTAGGAAATCTCAAGGGGGTGACCCAGATTCTGCCTTGGGCACATCCAAGACAAGGAAAGGAAGAAAATCCTGCTATGACACATTCCTCCCATCCCTATGTGACCTTTGCTGCTCCCTTGAAAGGTGTTCAGTTCCACTTAGGCTGATCTAGCCTTGCTGGGGCTGAGGCTCCGCAGCTGAAGATAACTGAGAATGAGGTATTAGTTTCTAAGGAAAAAATCCCCATAGGCTAATCTGGCATCAAGATGATTAATGCTTTTTACTAACAAATAAAAGTTCAGGAGTCCCAGGGAGTTCAGTCACCTTAATGCCATTAAAGCTATAAATATTCTTTGAAGACATAGACTGTGGTATTGAAATATCAGCCAAATGATCTGTAGTGGCTGTGGAAATTTACTACTTCCCTTGAGAAGTGACTATGCTCATAGCCTGTAGAGCCTTCTGAGTCTGCTTATCCTATTCAAATTGTACATTATCTTTCAGGGTTCTTAGCAGTACCATTGGTCATCTTTGAGGGGAGGCTAGACCCTACTAAAACCATCATTTAGGAGGAGGTGGAGGGCTTTGCCTAGGGTGCCTTCATTAACTTCTATTTTTTACTCCTGAATTCATTTTCTTCTACAAAAAAGCTATTAATGTGGTGTCCAGATCAATTTGTTTCAGCCATTTTCCTTATTGTATTCATTCTGCATACTATTAGGATCAATTTCTTTCTATGGGATCCCTGGATCTTATGACAGGACATGAACTCTTGTTCCGGGGAAAACTTACAAAAGCACCCACATTGATCAGGGTAGCACAACATCCCAGATCCTGGGCTTATTGTACTTTCATAGGACCCATACAGCCCTTTGGAGACACAAATCTCAGATGATGAAAAATTCAATCCAAGGAAATGCAGTAATGTCTCATGTCTTTTATTTTTGAATCCTCAGAGTCTAGAACTGTGCTCCAGCTTTGAAATGAATCACTTAAAAATAATATGTAAGTATGAAAATGCAGTGGAACTTATGCTCTGCACATTATTGGATTTGGGTATGCCTGGAGATCTGGGATCTTGGGTGGGTGAGGTAGGGGTGAGTGAATGGAACATGAAGGCAGTTTGTAGAGGTCTATTTGTGTGGGGAGCCACTTTGGGTAGGAAAGTATCTTAAAGGGAGAAATATATGTGCATGAAGGGCTTGGACTATTTACATGGTTTTGGTGATGGAGGTGGGGCAAGAGTAGGTATGATTCTGCATGTAATGTGGTACCAGTCCCTCTGGTCTATGCCCCGCTCAATTCCATGGAATTGTAGCTGAGCTGCGGGGGAAGAGAGGACGTCCTGCAATGTATTTCATTACTACTCTCTCCACTTTATATTACACTCAATTGGAGGGGTCTGGCAGTGCTGTGCTGGTTATCCCACCCCTTGGTGCCACAGACCACTTTCCAGTTTTGGTTGTTCCAGAGAGCAGGTAATGGCATCAGGTAGGAAACTATAGTAACCTGAGAGAAGACAGCAGAGGCAGTGTGGTAGTAGTGTGCCCACAAAAGACTCATAGTTCCTGACTAGATTTGCCTGTGTACATATAAATAAACTCCCATAAATGCTTGTGGGGGTTGGGGGTCTTTGTCAGAGGCTGAAGTTTTACATGATCAGATGGTGTCAAGGATACAGATATTTTTATGGTTGTTGTTAATGTCACCTGGACCTTTAGGCTGTGGAAGTGTGTGTGTATGTGCATGTGAATGTGGATGTGTGTGTGTGTTCCTCAAATTCAGGGATACTCAATTGAATCTCTAGGGATCCTTAGAGATTGGAGGCTCTTTCACAGCTTCTCTGGTGCTAATTTGAAATATGGCTGGGTCAGCATGTCTGGATGACTTTCCAGTTGGTTTCCCAGGAGAAAGAAAACAGCTCAGAGCACTTGTTAGTCCAAAGGTTTAAATTCACTAGAGTCAAGATAATTAAGGATCTCCAGGAGAGCACAGAGAACAGTAATTGAGAGAAGCCAAGTGAAAAATAATATGGAGAGAAAGGGAGATGAAGGGCATTAATACACAAGAAGTTGGCAGGTCCTTGTTTAGATGATAGAAGGGCTGAGATGATAACAAGAAAGGTTGGGACAAGTTGTAGCCAAAGGAAATTTCATTTGAACATTTGTCAGGATGTCTAAAATGAGGGATCTATTGAACGAAGGGCACAGAAAAGGAATTATCTGACTCGTTAAGAATGAGCATTCCCCTAGCTGAACAAAGATCAGCAGGCTGAGGGGGTGGCTAAGAAAATACCATTACAACCTCTGCTGCTTCTAACCCTGACAGAGTTGGAACAAAGCTGAGTTTTGAAGGCAGAATTGACACCATGATGATGGAACTTGTGTCTTGCTGTGCCAATGCCATCCAGAGATGTGAGCAGTTAAAGGACTAAAATGAAATGGAGCCAGAAAATCAATATTATTTGGCTGGGAAAGCAGTTGGGAGCCTGCAGTTCACAGGGGGCTCCGTGCTAAGCGCTTGATTTCTTTTCTGCTTTTCAAGAGAGACTAGTAGTTCAGCGAGTCCAATGCTCTTGCTCCTTCCTTCAACTTGGAGACATTGGTAGGCAGAACTGAAGTGCAGTTTGCTAGAAAAGCAGCACTGTTCTGGATGAATGATGGTTTTATACAAGATAATGCCTTTCTGAGGCTGGAGCACTGGCTTTGAGACTTCCCCATTCAGTGCAAGCTGGACCAAGCAGGCCTGTGTCAGACAAGGACAATGAATCCAAGGCAAGTCATACGATGACTCCCTGTTGTTAAAAGAGCATTCATGTACTACCCAGCACTGTCTATGCTCCAGTGAACATGATACTTCACTGTTATCCTTCCTGTGGGGTTATGCCCACCATCCCAGTTTCCCAGGATGTAGGACTCTGACTACTAAAACCAAGAGAGCCCCTGGCAAACTGGGATGGTAGTCACACTAGCATAGGAGAGCCTTATTAGGTATGCCCTATGCTTAGTGCTTTACCTGATTTATCTCATGCATTTCCTCTATCACTTCTGAGGAAGACTGTTATTTGTTCCCATTTTTGGATGAAGATAGCCAGGCAAAAACACGTTAGTTAACTTGCCTAACAAAATGTTAATGTCCGTTCTCTTTGAGTTGTGAGAGTCCAAGTGAACTTTACTGTTTTTCCATGTTCTATATATTTTTAAAATTTATTAAATGAACGTGTATTATGCCATAATATAAAAAAACCCAATTAACCTATTTTCCTTGTGGGAAAGTAAGTAATTTACCAACATCATGTATTTAATGAGTTGAGTCTAGAACCCTGCATTGATGAATTCCCAACCACCATAGCAGCAGGACTGGCTTAAAGAAGAAATTCCCTCATTTTAAGGTCTTTCTGGTTCTTTAGGCAGTTTCCATCCTCACCTCTGACTGCCTTAGAACCAACCTATGCTGAATTCTCTAAAATAAGAATGTTAGAATGAGTTTTCTTTGTGTAAAAGCTTCTCAACTAGGCAGAGTACTCTCTTTGGCGGTGAGAAAATTTCTTTTTAGCTACAAGATGCCAGATACGAGAATCTTACTCTTAGCATATTTAATTAGCACCCTGGGGCAAATGCTGATAAAGTCCTATTTCTCATTATTATGGGAGAGTATGTGGAAACCCAGTGGAGGGCTCCAAAATTTCTCTATTTTATCACTAGGGCTGTTCATCCCCTGCTGTCTTGCACATCTGTGCAGTTCCAGTTGCTGCCTCAGAGAGAAAGGGCAGCAAGGAAGGTCGCCCAAGTGACCCTACCAATGGAGGAGGGGCAGAGGAAGCTTTGAGCTTAGCTGGGCTGAAGTCCTCAAACTTACTTGGGAAACAACTCTTTTCTATACCTTCCAGGTTTGCCTTGAATGTTCCAAATTTATGGGACTCATGCTCATCCTAAAGCAAATTCCTCTGTTTTGTGTTTCCCCTTAATAAGCCTGAAACATTTAAGTGGATTGGAAGTCTCCTTGCAATGATTCTCCCACTCTGACTTGTACACACTTATGGCACTAGTTTGTTGGGAAGCACTTTGGTATAGTGATTGAGGCTCTGGAATCAGACTGCCTGAGTTTGAATGCCAACACTGACCTCTTTTAGCTATGTGACTTTGTGTAATTAAGTTCATCCCTCTAAATGTAAATGTTCTTATATATAAAATGGGATAATAATCATACCTAACTCATAAGACTGATGTCAGGATTAAACAATGTAATGTACATATATTACCTGCTTCAGAGTAAATGCTCAATATCTGTGTTTTCACCTGGATTTAACAGGGGCAGGCAGGGATCATGAGGAAGCTTGAACTCACAGGCATGAGCTGAAGCTATTGTCCATGAGTTTTCTGGATGGGAAGGTCACAAGCAGGCTGGAACTACATGGTTATGTTCATGATGTTTGGGAAAGCCTCATTCCTGCTTTTAAAGTCTTCCACTTGATAAAGTTAGAATCACCCAGGATCGTCTCTCTTACTTAAAGTCAACTGATTAGGGACTTTAATTACATCTACTAAATCCCTTTACCCCACTACCTAGATAGTGTGTTTTGCTGAATAACCAGACCCTGTAACTAGCCAAGGTGATGCCCCCAAAAGCCATCCCCAACTTTTAGCTGTGATCATTTATTTTAGTTTCCTGTGTCTGCTGTGACAAATTACCACAACCTTAGTAGCTTAACAGAAATATATTCTTTCACAGTTCTGGATGCCAGAAGTCTGAAACTAGAATCACTGGGCTGAAATCAGTGTGTCAGGAGAGTGGCATCCCCTCTGGAAGCTCTAGGGGAGAATCAGTTTCTTGCCTCTTCCAGATTTTGGTGACAGCCAGCATTCCTTGGCTTGTGGCTACATTGTTCCAATGTCTGCCTCTCTGGTCACATTGCTTTCTCCTTCTCTATGTATGTCAAATCTCCCTCTGCCTCTTTCTTATAAGGATACTTGTGATTACATTTAGGACCTATCCAAATAATCTTGCATCTCAGGACCTTTAATGTAATCATGTTGGAAAAGACATTTTCCATATAAAGTAACATTTACAATTTCCAAGGATGAAAACCTAATATCTTTGGGGACCATTATTCAGACTGCTACATCACCTCCTCATGTATTTTTGGAAGCTTGCTTTGTGCCAGGGACTTTGCCAAGCTGTTGGGAATACTAAGATGGAATAGTCACAGTCTCTTTCTTCAAGGAGCTGACTGGTAACAGAGAGTCTTCAGGTACATGAGGAGCCTAGCAGTAATACCAAGAGGTGAGCCAAAGTGCCTCTGGATGGTTATTTGTGATATGGTGCAGGATTTTAGAGAAGAAAAGAGATCACTTTCAACTGTGAAGATCTGAGAAGGTTTCACGGAGAAGAGAGGATATGATTGTCCAGAGCAATCCATTTCAAATTTGAGCATGTATAACATCACCTATGAAACTTCTAAAAACACAGATTGCTGGGCCTTACCCCCAGAGTTTCAGATTTAACAGGTCTAAAGTAGGGCCTAAGAATGTGCATTTTAAGCAAATTCAGGGGTGGTGAGGATGCTGCTGGTCTGGAGACCACACTTTGAGAAACACTGTTCTATACACATAAAGATGATGGTGGGAGGGGAGGTAGCTCTTTCCTCTCTTGAATTAATTTAGGTCACTATTTAGAGGTCACTTTCTCAGAGAGCACTCCTCCTTCCTCCTTTAAGACAGAAAAAAACTTGTCACATGAATTTACCCTGCTACATTTCTTCATATTATTTATCATCACTATTGAGGGGGTGGTGTCTCTCTCTCCTGCCAGGAGGTAAGCTTCATGAGGATGCAAACTCTGGCTCTTTTGTTCACAGCACTTAGAAAAGTGGTTAGCACATGGTAGGTGCTCCATAAATATTTGTTAAGTGAAAGAGTGAATGATCTTAGGTCTCATGTAGCTTAAAGTTCGTTAACTCCTCTGACCTTGTTCCTTCAACACTAAACCAGTCACTTCATCCTGAGAACAATTATTTAAATAGAATTAAATCAGTCAAGTTGGCTGTTTGAGAGGATTTTTTCATTTTTTTCAGTATGTTCTAGTTGACACAGTCTATGCAGAGCTGAAGATAATTTGGAATTTCCTTAAGCAGTGAAGAAATGCCCATAAAGTAATTAGGTTGGTTTAAACTCATTTAATTCTTAATATTTCCATTTTTGAATAAATATTTCATGCATTGCCCTTCTGGGAGGCAAACAGCCAGGAAATTTCAGCAATAATGTGTGTATAGAATTTCTTTTTTCCCCACAGTAGCACATTTTGAAAGATATCTCAACAGATTATGACAAGTAGAACAGGAAAATATTATTTTAATTTCCCTGGGTCAATTATTAGAATTACTGAAAAATATACTTAAATCACACTTTATCAGTGTGATCCACTCTGAGGAGGAGGGTAAGTAAAAAAGAACTGGACTGGTTTATCATAATTAAGTTTGTGCCCAAAATGCCAAAACAAATCAAACCCATTGGACGCATCTGTCTTCCAGCTATTGAATATAACTGTGAAAAGGGGGATTGAGCCTGTCTAAATGCGGCATGCTGCTATAAAGCAGGTGGTAAAATCTAAATAAAATTTAAAACAAAGTACATCTTATGAGCTATGTTCCTAAATTTTCCCTTCAGAAACAGATGTCACATAATAAACCGTAATAAAAACTTTGAACATGTAGAAGGACATTTTGAATAATTAGAAATTTATTTTAGTCATCGAGTGTGATGATAACTACAGGGCTCTTCTCTAATTCATCTCCTTGAAGCAGAACAAGAGAGGTAGAAATGAGGTCAGGTTAGGGGCAACATGCTCTATGTGGAAAGGTGGGGTGATCAACTCATCCCAGTTTGTCTGGGACTTTCCCAGTTTTAGCACTTACTATCTGGTATCCCAGAAAACCTCTATGTTCTGGGAAAACTTGGATAACTGGTCGCCCTAGGCACAAGCTGGCTCTCTTATTAGGTAATGACTTCCTACTACTAAGGATAGTACCTAGAGGTTGAATGGCCATTTCCCTGCCTGAGGTGGTTCAATCTCTAATGAATTTTAGAGGCTGGCTGGCTGCAGTTCTCTCATTCTCCAAACAAGTAAATCCTCATCTCAAGAAGCTAAATACCTAATTATACTCATATAAAACAGCATGTACTTGTGCAGATTCCTATTTTGTCTTAACTTTAAAACAAAGGTGGATGAATTTATGAATTCTTAACAGTTGATCTTTGCTTTTAAAGGTCTGTTTGACAAGTAATTCACTCCCCTTCCAATGATATACAGTTATATGATGTTTAAATGCCCTAATCTTGTACCAATACTTTTTTTTGCTTTTGTTGGTAAAAGGACTATTTTAAATGTGTGTCTGTGTGTGTGTGTGTGTGTGTGTGAGAGAGAGAGAGAGAGACAGAGAGAGAGAGAAAGAGAAAGAAAGAAAGAAAAGGGGGCAAGGAGAACAAATACTGTGTGGTAGGATTTTCTTTTCTTTCAAATTTTATCATTTAGTAGCTCTTCTAGTGATACTTTTCACTTGAAACAAAAGCTACACACCGTTTGTTTTGGAGGACATCTTCTTAAACTGTCATTCCCTTGTGTATTCTCCCTGTGGGATATGGGTGATGTGTGGGCATCAAGGAATCTCAGACTGAAACCTTGAACCCATAGCCTCAGAGTGATAGGAATGGGTGGGTTTGAGTGGGTAAGTGGGAGGCAGCACAGCCTAACTAGAAGAGTGAGATTTACTTCCTCATTTCCCTGCCATCGCAGGTCATCACAAATAAACAACTGGCTTTTTAGATTAAATTGTGTGTCTGCTCTAGAAAGGATGAAACAGTTCCTTGGAAAATCAGTATGCGTGAAAGATTGTAAAATGGCCACCCAGTATTAATTCTCTTCTTTCTTGCTGACAGATTCCTTATTTTGTTTGAGGCAGCAATGTGAGCCATTTAAAACACTCAATTTCCCAGCTTCATTTGCAGGTTGGGTGGCCATGTAGTATAGTTCTGACTAATGAAGTACAGGCATAAATGCCCTTTGCTTTTCCTTTACTGGAGAAGCAGTGACCATATTGTGACCACAAGGCAACAATCATGAAGAAAAGGGCAAGGAAATCTCAAAACATCAGTTATGACATTTTTGAGTCGGTGAATGAACACCTACCTCTGGAATTTTTGTTAAATGAGATAACTTGGTTAAACTTCTGTTAATAGCTACAGTTGTAGGATTTTCTGTTTCCTGCAAGTAATTGCTTTCTAACTGATCCAGGATAGTATGATACAGTGGAGAGTGTGCCACAGGACGAAGCCAGAAAACTGTTCTTGGCTTCCTTTTTTCTGCTTTTATAGATGATCTTTTGAGGTCCATTTTAGGTCTGAGAGGTAGAATTCCAATTCCAAGTCATTTTTGAAATAGAATTTGTTATGTCTTCTAGTGTGTGTGTGTGTGTGTGTGTGTGTGTGTGTGTGTAGGAGTATCTATGATAGTTAATAGTAATAATGAAGATTATTTAGTCTAAACCAGAGCCTATTTTCTTGCTGCTCCCTACTAAGTTTCTCTGGCAAAGATGTTTGTCTTCTCTGGGTTACGTTTGGTTCAGCTACGGCAATTCTGTTATGTATCCTGACCTTCTACCCAAAGCTTGTGTTGAAATTGATTAATGTTGATGAATTGCCTTGAGCTTCATGAAGATCTGAAATTATTACAACCTGAGGAAGGAAGGGCCATGCTTACGTGACTAAGACAGACAAATCTATAACCGAATCTGCAATTTCTGTTTTTCTTAAGCTGCACTTGTGAATGGACCCCTGTTCCTCCTTCTTCGCTCTCTGTAGCACCATGGAGTTAAAATGTAGTAAGTTGAAATGGCTGTGCTCTGAGTCTATCTGATGTCACTGTTGTTAACTCGACACAGAGGCAGGCAAGGTTTCATGACTTGTTGGAGGTCATGAAATCCACCCACTTCAGGGATGACCTTGATGTCTTCCACGAATTCAGGCTCTGATAAGTATAATTAACTCTAACCAGTGGGAAATCTCAAAAGGAACAGCTTCTTCCTCAATATTGAACTAACGAAGAAAGCGAGCTGCCATTTAAGATAAATATTAACATGCTGCCAATAACTGAGTGAAGGTTTGGAGATATTTATCGGTGTAGTTTTTTCACAGAAGAAGGAAAACAAAATGTTGATTGCCATGGTTCCTCAAACTGAGAAACAAAATGACAGGGATTATTTCAATCTTGTACTCCTACTAAGCTTCCTTTTTTACCAGTGCCTACCTTTCTAACTCTCTCATGCCCATTTAATGTTAATAATTTTCTGGGGCAGCTGACTACTTTCCTCCTGTGCTCCCCTTCATGAGCTGGCTACAAAGCTTCTTCCTTAGTCACCTCTGATACCTTCTTTAGAGGTCCATGTGAATTTTTTCTCTTGCAGCCTGTATCTGAAGGTAAGGTAATGGGAACAGTTACGACAGTTACTTGAGGAGCAATTTTGCCCTTTTGGTGAGATGAGAGGGAAGAAAATATGAGCAAAGACGAATCTGCAAAATATTTCCTTATATTATTGTACTTCTAGTTGGGGACATAGAAGGGAACCTACAATTCAAGTCATTGTGCCCGTGTCGTTAGTGACATGTGGCTATTGACTATTTGAAATGTGATTAGAGTGACTGAGGAACTGGATTTTTAATCTTTGAAAACTTAACATCATTTAGATTTAAATGTGAATAAGCATATCGGCTCATTCTTGCCATATTGGACAGTGAAGGTATATAGTACATAGGAAAGTTCTCAGAGTTCATATGTGGGTTCAAGGGTTATTTTAAGGAATCCTAGATTCAGGAAGTAAATTGATCTCATTATCCCAAGCCACTATTGAGAAATCATGGGTGTATAAGAACTCAAGCTTTATCAAACTTTTTCTTTATTTTTAATTTTTTTTTTATATTTTATGTAATTCTACTAAGCATATTTGAAGAATGCCGGGCCTGGGCCTTTGTGAATCAAATATGTTATATTAGACAGGAAGGGGATATTGGCTACAAGATAAAAGCACAGGCTTAAAAATGTGGCACATGTATACCATGGAATACTATGTAGCCATAAAAAGGATGAGTTCGTGTCCTTTGCAGGGACATGGATGAAGCTGGAAACTAACACAGGAACAGAAAACCAAACACCACATATTCTCACTCATAAGTGGGAGTTTAACAATGAGAACATATGGACACAGGGAGGGGAACGTCACACACCAGGGTCTGTTGGGGGGTGAGGGGCTAGGGGAGGGATAGCATTAGGAGAAATACCTAATGTAGATGACGGGTTGATGGGTGGAGCAAACCACCATGGCACATATATACCTATGTAGCAAACCTGCACGTTCTGCAAATGGATCCCAGAACTTGAAGTATAATAAAAAAATCATAAATGTGTGACTTCCATGTCTGATTCTACCTTTTCCTGGTTGTCTGTTTTTGGGTAAGATAAACAACCTATGTGGGCCATAATTTTCTAATTTTAAAATGAGAAAAGTAGCTCCTATACTCTGAGGTACTTGCTAAGTATTAAAATGAGATAAAATAGCAATAGTAACACAGGCCTTGACATAGAGGAAGTGCTTAATCAGTTTGTCTGTGTATGTGTGTGTGTTTGTATGTATGTTCATGTGTGTGTGGAAGTCTGGGTTACATACCCATACACCCATATAGCTTCACTAGCATTTTATAGTTATATTTATTTTCTGATAATCTATACATATGTTTATATGTGTATTTATAGAAGTGTGAATATGTGTATAGGAACATTACTTCTATTTGGCATCTGGTAGTAAGTTGCCATGTGGTATAAATGTCCAACATTAAAAAAAATTGTCCTATGTGTATTTGATCATTTTTATTTTGTCAACAAACACTTCCTTTTTTTCAAAGCATAAGTGTGCAATATGACAAAACCTTCATCAATTCCCTAGCCCCTGCAGAGTAAGCCCTACCCCCATAGGATGGCATGCTTTCAGCTTGGCTCCCACTCATGATTCTAATTTTAGCTCCTTCCATCTATCCTTCCCCCAGTAATTTCATGCCATGATTTAGTTTCGTTTAGTCCCCAGACACATCTTACTCTTTAATATCTCTATACATTCACACGAACTGTCTTTTTCATCTGGAACACCCTCCATTCTGTCCTTTCTGGTTTTGGGAAGCACTAATTCTGCTTGAGACCTAGTTATAATGTCGCTCTTTCTCATGAACTCCCATGCCCTAGGGGTTCTTATTTCTGTACCTATTTCATTGGATTATAATTATTTGTTCCTGGACTTTCCCCTCCACTAGTTCCTTAGTTACCTCTGATGTCGTCTTTAGAGGTCTATGTGAATTTTTTCTCTTGCAGCCTGTATCTGAAGGTAAGGTAATGAGAACAGTTACGACAGTTGCTTGAGGAGCAGTTTTGCCCTTTTGATAAGATGGGAGGGAAGGAAATATGAGCAAAGACGAATCTGCAAAATATTTTCTTGTATTATTGTACTTCTAGTTAGGGCCTTAGAAGGTTACTTACAATTCAGGTCGTTATGCCCACGTCATTAAGCATATGTGGCTATTGACTATTTGAAATGTGACTAGAGTAACTGAGGAACTGGATTTGTAATCTTTTAAAATTTTACTTCATTTAGATTTAAATTTGAATAAGCATATTGGCTTATTCTTGCCATATTGGACAGTGAAGGTATTTTGTACTTAGGAAAGTTTTCAGAGTTCATGCGTGGGTTCAAGGGTTATTTTAAGGAATCCTAGATTCAGGAAGTAAGTTGATCTCATTATCCTAAGGCACCTGAAACACAAAAACAAAATCCATTTGAGTTTACCAGTTAATATTTTAATTTACATGAAATGTTAACTCACTTTTAGAAAATAATCTATTATGCTTGGTTTCACTAAATATTATACAGTAAGGACAAAACTAGGGAGGAAATATATGTTCATTCTAATAGAATTAATGTCTCTTTCTTTTCTCCTTCAGGATTGGTTAAAAATTGTTTGTTTTCTAAGCTCATGCTAATAGATAATTACTTTAGCTCCACGGAGAGTAACAACAAACAGGTAAATTCCAGTACCTGAAGGGTGCTACCCAATAGTATAGGACTCCTATACTACAGGACTCCAAGGTGCAATTTAATAAAGCATAGACTTAGTTGTAATCTTTAATTCCATTGGGGTACTACTGTATTTGAGCCTATGAAGCAATAATTTTCTAAATTGCACCCTAGTGGCCTAAATGTTAATTCAGCTTCCTGAGATTTCTAGTTTAAAGTCAAGGAGTTTGTTCTACACTGTTAAATCTTGGTCTACAAATTTTATTTCCTTTAAACCTCTAGATTAAGAAATCACAGCTTTCAAAATGAAACTGCAAATTAATAGATGGAGGAGGAATCATCCATGAATTGACTGACTTAACTGCATACTTTTTTTTCAGATGCTAAGAATTCATTTTGATTCAGTTTCTAGCAAGCTCGAAGCAAAGTTTTGTGATCAGTTTTGGTAATTAACTATCTCAGGAGTCTAGTTATATGTACTTTTTATTCATTTTAATGTCATTGGTCTATTTTAACTTTTATTGCCCTGTTTTATAATGTGTTTGGTTTTGTAAGCTATATCTGGTAGTTGCAAATTTCCTCTCTCCACACTCAGATATACCAAGAAAATGTATTTCTTTTCTGTCTTTATTGACAAATAATATCCCATAGGAGTCCTACATTTTGGGTGGGCTAAAGCAAATTTATTTAGCTCAATCCAGAAAATAGAATACTTCCTGGTAAAAGTAGATTCTGAGGTTCTCCTATTTCTAATTTTCATATCTCCCCCATTTTCATCTTTTCCCAGAGGCTACTGGGTATATAGTGAGTGTGGTTTATATGGCCCCAAGGGGAGGTGATAGTTGTGAAGTCATGGGATCCAGCTATATCTGCCCCTTTTGTAGGATAATAGCTGTGGAGGGACTAATAGAGTTGCTCTCTGGGTTGCAAATGTGCTGAGGTGTGAGAGGTCACATCTGGTAGAGGAGGATGCCCTTCTCTCCTCTTGATTTTTATGAAGAGTAATTTTTCCCAAATCATACTCCCGTGACCTCTTGCCTTACTCCTCAGTCTCCTCCTGACAGAGAGGGAGTGTGTACCTGGTTAGAAGGCAACAGGTTTCTTGATTGTTTGTGGAAAATCTATCCAAGGTCCTGAGTGTGGTTCCTATTCTTCTCAGTGAGACGCAATGGCTGGTCAGCCTTAAGGACTGACACTCCTCTTGGGTGTGCCGTCTCAAGTGTGGCCATGGGTTTGGATAGGGAATGACCTGGCACATTTGTCTCTCACACAAGCTGCCTCCTTTGATCCATATACACCACTAATGAATGAAATTTTGACCTTCATCTTTACTCTTGTATTGTATTTCTAAAATTCTAGGTCCTTGGGTGGTGAAGGGTTTATGTCTTCCTAACGTATCTAGGTGCCCCTCAGATACTCATAACATACCAGTGTCTTTAAGAACATAACAAAATAAAAAACTGGAAGTTTACATTCTTGGAAAGACTTTTGGGGAGTCAGAAAGATTATTCTTTCATTTTAATACTTTCTTCCCTTCTTTTTTCCATTTTTCAGTTTTGGTTAAGACCTAGTTTAGATTATTTGCCCAAACTTTGGCCAATTAAAAGACGGCATCACCTCTGTTGCATTTCTTCACGGTAACTTTCAGTAATTGGACAAAGTTACTGAAGTTACTTTACTGAAGCTAAAGTAAGTAGGGGATGAAAAGCATCGATCTTTGTCAGGGGCCCGATCTGGAACTGTGGGACTTGTTCCCTTGGCATTCTTCCATATACCTCTCTGCCACTCTCTTGCCACCACCACAGGCCACTTTTGTTTGTGAATCTTAGAGAATCAGATGGCAGCTTTATAGAAATAGAGTGAATTTTGTTAATGAACAAAATAAAATGAAGCCCCACCGTGATGCACTCAATCTCAGTGTGGGTAGAGGAGAAAAAAGCCTGATAAATTATTACAGATCCAAAGGCCAACAAAAGACAATATTATTAAACAAAGCTTGTGTCTGAGATGCTTTACTCTAGGGAATTAGACTGGCACTGAAACAGAGCAGGGAGCCTCAGGAATGCTCAAATTTATGAAGGCCAATAAAGCATAAACTTTGCATGTTTTCCTTGAAAGTCTGTAAATGGGGATGGTATAATACCTACCTGACAGAGTTGTTTCTGACATTGAATGAAATCAGGTGGTAAATAAGAATCACTTCAGCATGTATGACTCAGATGTGTATCTCAACAACATGACAAATTACTGCACATTATTTGTATTTGATTGTTAATGCAGTGATTGAAACAATGATTATTATATCCAAAATGCCAAGAATTTGATGTATTTATAAAATCCTGCAGCACATTCTTTTGTAAAGCAAGTGATCCTTCCATAATTTTAATAGACAATCCCCAACTTTTAATTTTTTTGTGGTTTAAGTAGTTTACTGCATTTCAGTTTTCTTTAAAAAATGGCATCTATTTTCTTTTTTCTCTTTCCTGGGTGCAATGAGTGTGGATGTGATACATTCTTCAGGGTGTGAAGAAGCATAGGTGTTTTTAGAGAAATTTTACTACTACCAGGCTTTTTTCACTGAGAAGCAAACTCAGCTTAGCAAATCCTTGTTTGTTTTGCAATAGATGAAGAGAATGGTAGTGAAAAATGGACTGTCAGATTTGTACTGATTTGATGTGTCTTCCCAGCTAGCTGTGCTGAGCATTAATGAGCAGGGTGCAAAAATAGTTACTTTGAGGTGCGATGTATGGTTACTTTAGAATAATATAATCATTTACATTCAGTCTCAGGCAAACTAAATCCTTGAGCTAAAACCGCATCCTGATTTTCTGAATAACCGTATGTAATACCAAGAGTCACTATAATTAGAATTCTGCAATGTAACACAGTGGAAGAAATGATGAATTACCCATTTCAAATCTGCTATCCCATTGCCATTTCATCAAATACATAGATGAATAATTAGTCATCATAAATTCACTTCAGAGTATTTATTGAGCACCTATTTGGTGCTTGGGTCTGTGAAGGATATGAAAGCTTTCAACAAGGATTTGCCAGATGCAGTGTAATTGATAGGAAAGGATACTCGCAAGAAGAGTTAAGGAATTATATGAAAGTTTAAAGTGCCTAAGAAATTGGTAGACACAATAATTTCATTAGGAGTTTAAAGGAAGTGGAGATTCCTGTGGGCCTGGGCAGTTAAAGAACACTGATTGCTAAGGATGGGTAAGGGAGCAGGGGTCAGGAGATGAGGCTTAACTTCAGAGCAGGGCCACATCACAAAAGATAGGCAGCAGCCATGGGGGGCTACTGCTCCATGAACTAATTAGCTTGGCTGGTGAAGACAGTCTATGAGGCAGAGTTCTGATTGTGAGTTAATACTGAGCTGGAGAGTGGGTGACAACTTCACCAAGGTCTTGAAAGCCATATGGAGGGATTTGGCTTCCTTCTGTAGGCAAGTGTGAACCACTGGAGAAAGCCAATAGCTATCCAGATAGTGACTGTGGTTTTGGAACACATCTGATTATGGGTGTTTGTGGGCAGTGCTGTTCCAGGTCTTCACTAGGGACAAGGGGTGGAATGCTTCATTGTAGAGAACAGTTCTGGAAAAAATTCCTAGGAAATGCTCCTTCAGACCTGGGAGTGAGGATGCTAGTGTGTGGCAAAAGAGAGCCAGTAAAGTGGTTACCCACTATGGAGGGACTGCCTAAGGTAAAGGGATTCCTCCCTAGATGACATTGTTTCTTTGCCAAGGAACAGGATATGCAGGCTTAGTGGTGTGAGGAGTATTTTTGTCGTTGAAACCTAACTTCTGTGGCCAGTTTCTCCACTGGCTCTTTCCCCTGAATTGCAATCATTTTGAGATTGCCTATCCTTAGCCCAAGTGAGAAAAAAGACACAGGATAAAAAGGGAGCCCTTCTTGGAAATCCGTCTTGCAAATGGTTGCCAAGCCAATATGTTTTTAAAATACTCCTTTTATTATGTCACTTTTTGTTTATAAACTAAAAATAGCTCATTGATTCCAACTTATGCTTTGTAAGTCTCTTTTAAGGTCAGAACCCACTTTGTCTGTCTATGTATCTATGTATCTATTTGTCTATCTATCTATCTATCTATCTATCATCTATCATCTATCTACCTACATACCTATCTGTCTATCATCATCTATCTTCCTCCACCTCATCATCTCCTTAGGTTCCAATCATTATAGATTTCTAGTCTTCATTTTAGTTAGGCTAGTTCCACACTAACCATAACTATGTCCATTCCCATAGACTTAATTATTTCCCTAGCTTGGAAAGTGCCAAATCTATGGCCTTGATCCAAATCCTACCCATTCTTTAAAATCTATCTTAAACCCTTCCTGTTTCATAGATTTTCCTATCTCAACTTGAACCCTGAATGATCTCTGTATTCCCTGGACCATTAAAAGACTTGAAAAACATAGAGCATAGAGTTTTAGAGGACCAACATATTATAGTATTGAAGACTCTAGAACAAATTGAGTTATAGTCTTTATAATTGTATGTCTACTTCAATTTTTAAAAGATCAAGAACATTAACCTGCAGAGGTTCAGCCTCCTTTTGATGTATTTCTAGTGGCAGGAAGATGCCAGCCCATTCCCTTTTGTTTCAGCAAGGATTTTCTTGTCTTCCTGTTTGACTGTAGAGGTGGGGCAGAGAACAGGCTAGGTGCATTTATATTTAGTGATGCATCACAAATTTATTGAGCAGCAATTATTTTTCAGGTATGGTACTGAACACTAGAAATGCTAAGATTTAGAAAATGTCTTTTATTTCAAGGTGCTTATAATGTATTGTGAATGTGAGATTGATCCAGAATAGTTGATCAATAGATGTTTGTGGATGAAAGAAACAGAGGCAAGAAAACCAACTATTACACGGATTTTTAAGAATATCATCTCTTAGATTAGATTGCCTGACTTTGAATCTTGGTTCTGATACTAGGTATTTACTGAACATTACAACATAGGTTATTAGATTTGAATGAGAAAATGCATATAAAATGCTTAGCATAGTGTTTGACACGTAGGTTCTCCGTACATGTGATGATAATGACAAAAATAAGTCTGATTCATTGGACAGAGGCATGGGCAGAATGCTGTGGGAACACAGAAGAAGGTCATTCTACTCAGACCTATGTGCAGGGAGGGTGGGAGGGACTGGCCAGTGAAGTAGCATGTGAGGGACGGCTCAGAGCAGCTGGAGCTGTGTGCTCTTATAGGAAGATGTGAATAGTGATTGAGCAAAACCAGAGTTGACCTTTAAAAAACTGGAAGATGGCACAAGTGTTCTTAAGCTTCGTTAGACATGTCATCAGGAAAGTGGCATTATTCTATGAATTCCAAGGCAAGTACTACCTTCCGAGACAATAATTGATTGAAATAGTTTACCATGTACTAGCTCTGTGTTCAGTGTTTTTTGCGAAGAATGTCTGAAAATATCTATAAATAAGAAGGATACAGAACCAAAGAAAACACTGGGCAACATATCAATTGCTCACCAGCACCTGTATTTCTAAGAGAGCATTAGATGCAGAGTCTGGTGGCTTTTGTCTATAGTGAGATCCTAAGCTTATTGGTAAAAAATATACTCACAAGACTAATGATAGAGGGCCAGATGGACAGTGTTCTGTTTTTTTATAATCACATGTAGAGTTTTGCTGTTGCTTTTCCTTTCAGTCACTGGGATAGAAGTTGTTATTTCTACATATTTCTGGGTAGTGTTTAATACTCTTTTTTCTGTATATCTCATTTGCCAAGTTTCAAGCAAGGTGCTTTTTTAAAAAGACTGAAGAGCTTTATAGGTTTATTGCATGGCTTTTGTTAGCCCCAAATATATAATTATTATTTAGTCAAGGCATAGAGTGCTAGCTAGTCACATTAACGTATATCGTATAAAATTTATACTTGAACTCTTTAAAAGTATCTCAGAATAATATCTATAAGGTGATCTCAATTTTGTAATTATGTATGTATTCATACAAATGCAGAAAAACTTAGAGGAGTACACAATGGTGTTAGAAGTCAATCACTCCAAGGACTATAATTAGGTAAAGACATGGGCTTTCATTTTCATTATTTATATGCATTTGAATTATATTAGTAGGGTAACAAGTATACCCAAATAGAGCTGATGGCTGTAACAAGTATACCCAAATAGAGCTGATGGCTCAAAGAACATAGAGGTTTAGTTTTTCTTTGTGTAACAAACCCAAAGCAGTTCCTGGACACTGAGGAAGGGTACAAAAAAGCGCTACCTCACACACAGTCATTCAGAGATCAGTCTTCAACATGCAGCTTACAAGGTTGCCCTGGGTACTGATGTCACATTCAGTCCCTGGGCATTGACACCAAGGTGGCAGAAGAAAAATGAGCATAGAAGATTATTCATTGGGGGTATGTAGTATGGTGTATGTGGTACATGGTGTGGGTGTGTGTGTCCATATGTGTGTGTCTACAGGGCAGGCTTGAAAATGTCACTTCTGCTCATATTCAGTTTGCTAGAACTCAGTTATGTGACCACATCTAATTGCAAGAGAGGCTGGGAAATGGAATCTGGCTGTATTTCCAGGAAGAAGGGGGAACAAAGGTTTTGGTGAACAGCTAGAAGTTTCTACCAGAGTCAGGTTTTGTGGTTACCAAATATCCAGTGCTCCCTTCTATCTACATAGAGAGCACACTTGCCTTCTTTCTTGAGGAAGATAACACAAAGTTTCATCTAAACTCCATAGAAAATTCAAAGGCAAGGGTCCCTGGGTGATGCACAGTGTTCTCAATCATATCCAGATGTGATTCCTAGTGGTTTGGTGACCTGCATATTAAAAAGATGCATTCTCTCCCCCACTTTCCACCATCCACTGGCAACACACCCACCCCCCCCCCCCGCACACACACACACCCACACACACACTATGATGGTGGACCTGCAACAAGATAACTGCAGTAAAAACTCCCATTCAGGAATGAGAAGAGTCATTGGTTCATGGCAATGATGGAACCCTGCTGGGCAAACTTTGTGACGTCCCCCTTTCCTGGCAGTAGGGAAAGTTCCTGAAATAAATCCTGATTCTGCCATCTTGGAGGAACTCCCTCATCTACTGAATGACCCTGGTTCCCTGCTCTAGGTGCATCTTCCTTGTCCATTATCCTCCATGACCCTGCATGAATTGAGAACCAGGAATGTACCCTCCTCAGGGGTTGCACAGTACTCTCATCTTGCTTTCTGCTGTACCAATAACAGGGCCTGCCTAAGAATTCTTTAAAGGCTTGAATAGTTAAAGCTTTTTTAGTTTAGGCACAGGATTCTTTGGCGATATCAGTTCCTCAAATATTTAGTTGCCTTGTAATCTGTTTGCTTTCAGTGGGTTCCATGTGAGTGTAACCAAACCTAAATTCTTTCCTAAGACAAAACACTTAAACCTTGTCTCTTTCCTCATTTCCCAACCCAGTGCCTCTCTCCCTCAACTTACTGGTGGCTCTTTGGCAGCCATTTGAAACTACAGCCTTAGGTGGAAAGGAGACATATTTAATATGATACTTGCCATACTGTTAAATACCTCTGTTTAACTAACAGCAATTGATGGAGGCTTCAAGGCATATTTTCAGTCTCACTTCATATGATTGTTGTTCAGTAGTGGTTAAATTCTTCAGTTCTGCAAAGCCTGATTTTCTGGACGTTCTCCATTATCTTTCATTTCTGCTTGCAAATCAACCAATTCTTTCTTGAACTCATTTATCTCTTGTAAATCTTTCCTAGATGCAACAAGTAATAGTCAACACACTCTCCTAATACCTCTTTTCTGATCACTTACCCCATAGCTACAAGCAAGGGAGGAACGTGGCCTGCCTTCCAAGACAGGGTTTACCAAATTCTTTGTCACCATATATCACGGGTCTCCAACTGTTGAGCCTCTGTTAAGAGTTTCCCTACCCCATGCTACTTGGCCACCAACCCATTGCCCCATATGTTAGAATTTTGTTATGGAGGTATGCCACTTGAAGGCATATATTGCTGTATAATTAAAGAGGGTGAATTTCTATGACAAAAATACCCTAAGTCCATCAACAAATATTGGATAAAGAAAATGGGGGTACATATATACACAATGGAATATTATTCAGCCATAAAAAGGAATTGTTACGGGAGTTATTAAGAAATTATTTTAGGCAGAGAGCAAAAGGGGTCCTTGGGAAGTTTTTGTTTCTTTTAAAGCAGCTCCAGAAACATTTCTTGTCTAGCAGGAAAGCCCCAGCTCTTAGAGCTGGGCAGGCAAGCTTTGATATGCAAATGCTGGCCCTTAGAAACTGGGTCCACCCAAATGTGGCAATTCCCATTGTCTTCTTGCCCTTGCCCCTACTTGTGCCTGGCAACATGGCTGTCCCCCACATATCCCCACGTGCGTAGAACGTCATGGCACCCTGTATTTGCATATAAAAAGGTCACAATGGGAGGGCCCATTTTCTCGTGGGCTGCATGAATGACACACCTGGTCAAACCAATCCTCTGGGCCCTATGGAAACCAGACACCACCTCCTCCAGCATCCCAATATAAGCAGCCACTTTTCCACCACACATGGGGTTTTCTCTTTGTTCAAATCCCCCCTCCCTCTGTCTCTGTACAGGGGACCTGTTTTCTTCTTCCTTCCTTCTTTCTTGCCTATTAAACTTTTCGCTCCTTAAAACCACTCCACGTGTGTCCGTGTCATTAATCCTATGGGCGAGACCCTGGTGTTCCTCCAGTCATCGGAGCCATATCAGAATGAAGTCGTGTCTTTTGAAGCAACATGCATGGAACTGAAGGTCGTTATCTTAAGTGAAGCAAGCCATACAGAGCCAAATACTGCATGTTCTCATAAGTGGGTACTAAAAAATGTGTACACATGGATGTAGAGAGTGGAGCTATAGACAATGGAGACTCAGAAGGGTGAGATGGGGATGGATGATGAGAAATTACCTAATGGGTACAATGTAATTATTTGGGTGATAAATACCCTAAAATCCCTGACCTGAACGCTATCCAATCTATGCATGTAACAAAATTGCATTTGTACTCCATAAATATTTATAAATAAAAAACTCTTAAGTTATCTACTGTGTTATATACAAACACAATAGAATCTTCTTTCTTGCTTAGGTAAATAATCTAGGCTTGCTCCAGTTTAGCATGGGATGGGCTATGCTTGTCATGGTCATTCAGGAATCCAGGCTGATGGAGTCTCTGCCGTCTTCAACATATAGCTTTCAAAATGATCCTTGGCATTGTCATCCAACAACCAAGGAGGTCAGTGAGATAAAAAAGAATTGCCTGAGAGGTGGAACAGGCTGACACACGGCTTCCATCACTTTTGCTCACATCCCATTGGCTAAAACTTAGTCCCATGGCCTCAACCAACCTCAAGAGAGGCTGGAGAATTTGTTTAGGCCCTATGCCCAGGTAGAGGAGAACATATAATTTTTATATATGTATATATATATATAATATTCATATTTTTATATAAAAAGTTTAAAATTTTTAAATTTTTTAAGTATAAAATTTTTTAAAAATTTAATTTTTAAATTTAAATTTTTTAATTTTTAAAATTTATTAAAAAATCTTATATTTATATATATAAAATATATATATATTTTCAAGACAGAATCTTGCTTTGTTGCTGAGGCTGGAGTGCATTGGCATGATCTTGGCTCACTGCAACCTCTGCATCCTAGCTTCAAGTGATTCTCATGCCTCAGCCTCCAGAGCAGCTGGAAATACAAGCATGCACCACCACACCTGGCTAATTTTTTGTATTTTTACTAGAGACGGGGTTTTGCCATTTTGCTCAGGCTGGTCTTGAACTCCTGGGTTCAAGTGATCCACCCAGCTCGGCCTCGCAAAGTGCTGGGATTATAGGCGTGAGCCACTGCACCCAGCCATGAGAATGTGGATTTTAATCTGCAGGTGGCAGATATTGTTTGAATTTTTAAAAACCCTGTATTTCTGTAATAAAACCAAATAATTGTATTTGTTTTTCTTATCTTCTGTTTGAGCAACTTTGCTACTTGGAATTTATTCTAGAAAAACAGTTGGACAAGTGAACATTGATACGTGTGCAAGGATGTACTGCAGAATTGTTTGTAAGAGAGGGAAAATTGGAAATAGCCTAAGTGGTAAATCCTCAGGAATTGGCTACTAATGTACCCATTAGGACAATGATGTGAAGAACTGTATTCATTGATATTCAAATATGTTTATATTATATCAAGTGAGCAAAGGAGATCATAGAACAATATGTCTAGTGTGACTTTTATCTTACATATTTGTATTATGCATTAAAGTTTTGGAAAATATCAATAATGGTGATTCATAGATGGTTATATTATGAGTAATTTTAATTTCTATTTTTCTTTACTGTGTTATTTATGTTTTGTATAGTAAATGTAGATAGTTTGGTAATTAAAAAGTAGATATTGTTGATACCACAAGTATTGACAACTTATTTGCACGGTTCTGCATCCTATGTCCCAGTGTGGAGACTCTTTCCCTGTGTAGTCATAGCTGTTAGTTAGGAAAATAGCTATTTAATTGGAATTTCCTGGGTTGCTCTATGTTTTGTTTATTCAAGTGTTCTCCAAAATTTTCCTCTGCAACCAATAGTAATATAGCTCTTTATAAAACACTTTCACATAACTTCATTTAATTCCTATAATAACTGAAATAAATAAGCAGTTATTCCTATTCAGAAAAATGAAGTGACTTTGCTATTGGCATATCTAGCGAGAGCTGGGGCCCAGCCTTGGTTGAGCCCAGTTTTTCTCTGTGTGGACTTGGCTTACTCCACCCTGGTTGTTCTCAACCCTGGCAACATCTTCATATCACTTGGGACATTTACCAATTCTTTGGTCTCTCCCCTGAATAAGTAAAGAAAAAATTTCTGTCTCTCTCTCACTCTATCTATCTATCTATCTATCTATCTATCTATCTATCTATCTATCATATATCTATCTATCATCTATCTATCATCTATCTATAGTTTATATATTGTCATTGTTGTTACTATTTTATTACTAGTTGTCTTTTTGATAGTTTTAAATGGTTTTCATATATTATCTCATTTGATCCTTATTAGAAACACATAAGGTGGATATCACTTTTCTTATCACAAATGAGGAAATTTAGGCACAGAGAGGAAAACTCACTTGCCCAAGAAGATCCAGTTAGGAAGTGGATCAAGGAATATTTGAGCCTACATCTATTCGCCCCCCAAGACTGGGCAGTTAATCATTTTTATAAATGGTAAAATTTGGTCTTGTGTGCAGGTCAAGACATCAGAAGATTAGAGTTGTAGTTCATATAAATAGCCAAACTAGGAACTCAATGAGTTTAAGCTCAATATAATCCTGTGAACAAAGCAACAGGATAATTTGAAATGTCAATGTGACATTCTGTTCCACAGTAAATTAATAAGATGTGACTGGAGGCCTTTCTTGTCAAGGCTGTAACAATCGCAAGCCATACTTTCTCTCCCCTTTAATCTCATGTTATGATAATAGGCAATCAGTAGAAACATCCTTCAAATATCAGCTGAGTCCTTTTCATACACAAAGGTGACAAATTGGCAGCATCCACTTTTGTTCATTTCTGTTGGAAGAGATGTAGCTTCAAACACTACGATGTGATGAAATGAGCAATGTAAAAACAGAGGCAGTTTTCTGTAATTAATTTGGTATTGATAGAAAACACTTTGATCCTCTTCTCATTCTTTTTGTTGCTGAAGTGATGGTCATTTGGATGGTCTGAGTGACTTTGAGGCATGGGCAAAAAGCTGGGAGGTCCCAGCAAGTATTACTCCTCATGTTTCAGAATCCTTTAATTTTGGACATGTCTTTAGCTACATATTCTTGGTTTCCAGTCTTGAACGTGGCTTTGGGCACTTCTCCACTTGATCGTGTGCTACCTCCTGGATCCCATCTAGACCAGCCCAGCATCCCTGTTCTGCGGATTATGTTCAGAACCATCTCCATACTAGCAACTTTCTGGTACCCATCTAGCAACTGGCACTTTAAAAAATCAAAATTCTATTTCCCTGAGGTGGCTAAGGAGAGAGAACATCCCCAGGGGTGAGATTTGTTGCAACTTGTTGCCATAATTCTTCTATTAAGAGAGATGAGAGGCCTCTCAGCTAAAACTACAAGGAAACCGAAACTGCCATTTCCACCTGCAAGTGTCTTTATGATTTTGACAGTATGGACCTTTCTACACTCAGGGTGAAGTTTCCGCCTTTTCTTTTCCTGAAAGGTGGGGTTGAGAGGGGCACCATTAGCCCAGGCATGTGTGCAGACAAGTCCTCAGAGCACATGAACACATGAAAGACCAGAACTCATTGAAATGTGGCATGGAAAATACTCACTGTTCAAACTGGAAACCTGGATCCATCTATCTGTAATTCTCTATTTGCCTTTTTATTCACATCCAAATCATCGGTGGCTATCACCACCTCTAACTCTAAAAATATGTCTATTATCTGCCCACTTTTCTCCATCTCTTCTGCCTGCTACCCTAGTCTATATCTCCATTATCTCTTATCTGCTGTCCTGTGATAACCTCCTAGGTGGAGTTTCTACTTCCACTTGTGTGTTCCCACAGATTATTTTCCTCAGGGCAGTTAAAGTAAACTTGCAAATCATAGACCAGATCGTCTGACTCCCCTGCTTTAAAACCACTGGCTTCCCAAAAGATCCTATATGATCTGGTGCCAGCCTATTCCACTGACATCACCTAGTCCCACTCTCCCCTCAGTCACCAGGCTGAACACAGGACTTTGTTCATGGAATAGGACAAGCTTGTTTTAACCTCAAGGTGTTCGTATCTCCTATTTTTTTCTGCCAACAAGTTCTTTGCTGGGGTCTTCCTAGCTTGGAAGAACCTTCTTAGTTGAAACATTTCTTAGTTGGACGTTACTGCCTATTTATTCTATCTAAAGTAGTCCTTTTCTGCTCCTCCATCATGTCTGTTTATAGGACAAGTATTTATTGGATGCCTGCTATGTTTCAGATACTGGGAATAACTCAGCAAACAAGACCAACAGAAATTCCTGCCTTCGTGTGCTTTACGTTCTAGTGTCCCATCAGGATGTTTAAATTTCTCTGTAGCACTGATTTCTATTTGAGTTATTTATTGGTTTGCTTGTTTTAATCTTTCTCTCTATAGCCCACCCTTGGACAGACTGGGAAGAATAAATCAGTTTTGGTTTTGCAGCATGTCCATGGCAATCTGTCTCAGGAGGCAGACATTAGAAGAATCTGTAGACACAAAGAATCAGAGTGGGAAAAGTTTGTTGTCCTTTTTTGTTACTCCCTCCTTTGCTTAGAAGAACATTTTGAGCATGAGCACGCTTACACATAGTCTAAGAATACTTGTCAAAGACAGTTCATAGATGGCATCATTAATACAATTTAGAAACAATAGTGCCCCTACCCCAGTATCTACAGACTGTTGAGGTTTGCTTCACAGGTTAGAATTTTCAGATGCTGTCTTTCTCTGTATTGTGGTTTGTGTATAACAATTACCTGGTAATTCAGATTTTGAAGCCTGGCCTCTAAAGAGTCTGATTATTAGGTCTAAGGTAGAACCCAGGAGCCTGCATTTTTAAGAAGTACCCCAGGTGACTCCGTAGTAGGTTTGTGGACTGCAATCTGTAAAATACTTTGTAGAGCATAGCCTGATATTGTAAACAAGGACTTTCTATGGTCCTGTGTGCCAGAGAATGTGCACTTGTAGGATCTCCTAAATTTAGGTGACTGTGTGTCGAGGTTTGCCTGGGATGGTCCTGGTGTATGTCTGCTTTCCCAGCATAATTATTAATAATGACCATTCTAACTATCAAAAGTGTCACAAATTGAATGGTACATTTGATAGTAACTCTGTATGTATGGAACTCTTACCCAAGAGGCTATTGTAAGAAGCTTCCTTTTTGGGGATAAAAAGGTAGACTTATCTGAAAGAGATAAAGTGGACATCTGTCCACCTGGTCTGGTCTTCTATCATGGAATTTTTGAACTATATCCACACTATGAAAGAGGAATTCCTTACATTCTAGGGATTCCAGTTCCTGCTTCCTCCTTATCTGATATTCCTCCTTATATGATATTCCTCTGACAGACTTACCATGGAAAGTCACATTTTTGCCTATGCCTGTGCTGTCCAGTACCATAGCCAACAGGAGTATATGTCTATTTAAATGAAAATTTACACTAATTAACATAAAATGAAATTTAAAATTCAGTTGTTTAGTTTTGGCACATTTCAAATGCTCACTAATCACAGGTGGCTAATGGCCACTGCCGTGGACAGTGAATTATAGAAAATCTCATCATCATAGGAAGTTTCTGTTGGACAGCACTAGCCTAATTTGTGTTTCTGTGGTTTTTACCCGCTCAGATTTGTATCCAGTATTTTTTGTAGTTATGACTTGGGAGAAATCAGAAAAATAATGCTTTTAGAAGTTACATTACAGATTATCTAATACAATCTCTTAATATAATTTATACTTAAATGTATTAAGTTATCCTAGCTAATTGCTTGGTATCAAATTATCCACCTGCAAAATGGGATCACAACAGCTCTTCCTCAGAGTGACATTGAGGCAGCCTTCCAGCACATGCAGATGCCAGCTACTGAGTAAATAGCATCTCATGTCATTAAATGGTACACTGACTTTGATATGTTGCTATAAACTCCTTATCATAATTCATTATGAATGTGTTAGGGAAATTGACTTAAAGCAGCTATATCAAAATAGCCATGAGACTGATTGAGTCCAAAGATGAATTACACATTCTATTTCGTCATCTCGTTAACAGTAGGTTCCCTTAATGAGATACTTTCTATTTCAGATGGTGGTGTAACATGGCTAGTACTTCGAAAACTTTGAAGAGCCCTTAGTGATGCTGTTTGCAGCCCTTCAGTCCTATTCAACACCTCCAAAGGAAATGGTAAACCCTGTTTCTGTCTGTCCATTTGGTTTGTTATGACTGATGCTCTGGCCTTCTTCCAAAGAAAGATTTTTTAGTTCAATACCTCTTCCCTCCATGGAGCACACTGTCTGTAGGATGGTGGGTCCATTGCTCTGGAAGAATGCTTTGAGATATGTATGTTGTGCTTGAAAGACAATGCATGAAATACTTGTTTGATCACTGGTTTGGACTTCACGTTCATTTTGGTGGATGTGTGAAGAGAAGGGCTAGGGCAAATGCCTATAGGCAGGAGAAGAATCCTAAATGTGTTCTGATTATGAACTCATGTATTATGTACCTACTATACCGCAGAGGCACATTTGCTTTCAAGAATCCTCTGGGAAAATTATAATTTTCCCCTTGTATGAGTGAAGAAACAGGTTCAGAGAGAGAGAGAAAGTAAATATCTCTGGTTGTACAAGAGGGATTCAGGATTCTTAGCTGAGTTGTTTGGCTTCAGAGCCCCCATTCTATCTACTATATTATTCTGCTTTACTTGTACAGTAAAATGCATTTAGATCTATTTTCTCATTTGATACTACATTCTATTAGGTGGAATGGCAGGTATCACTATTCCTGGATTGGGATATCTGTCTATCTATTGCTTAGATAGATCCTCCACCCAAGTGGAGCAGTGAATTGCCCGAGGTCAAAAGGCAAGTATGAATGTCTGAGGCTCATATATACACTTAGCCGGATAGATAGGGAAACTGTCAAAACACCAAAATAAATAGGAAATATTGCTGGAAGCTGGTAGCATTCTGTCCCTAAAGCATGATTTGGAATGCAGCAGAAACTCTTGTCAAGCCAGCGCACTTTGTGTAATGAAACATTTGTCCTGTATGTTTCAATGGGATCTCAGGAGCTCTTCTGCTGTGTCACAGAATGGCATTTCATAGGACTTTCTGGAAAAATAGAAGAGTGTTTAAACACCAAATAGCATCTGAGAGGGATCCAGAGACCAGTGATTAAAGGCACATGCTGAGGGCCCTGGGAATGCTGATTTCAGGAACTCTGGGATGCAAAATGAGTGTCAAAATTGAGGCACAAATCTTTGCTGGCTTGCTGAGAGGAAGTTACTTCTACTCAGCTGTGTAAACAACAACCATATTGGAAATGTCAGAAGGAATGAAATCCTTTTTTGGAGAGGGGCTATTACAAAGACAGCACTAATAGTAAAATTAGAAACGCATTAGCTTTGTTGTATGAGGTCTGTGACAGCATCAATTTTTGGCACCAGAGCAGTCTCTTATGCACATAGGGATAGAACAGTTGACAGGTTTATGATCTTCCCCCATAAAATGGTTATTGCCTCTTGATTCCTCTACCTATATGTCACACAGTTCATAAATTGATTTACAAATCTCATAATAACAAATGCCTATTCTGATCAGCCTGTCAGCCTTTTTAATATTTATATAATTTTCTTTGAAAGAGCTTAGTGAAGTTATTTCCTGGTGTTGGAGGCTGGGGCAGTGATGGTGTAGGGTAACTCAGAGAAGCCTGTGGAGACTGACGGACAGATTTAGTGGCCACTGAGAAAAACAATTGGGTTATACTTGAGAGATGCACTGTGATGAAATGTAACACTGTCACTTCTTTGATCTTGACAGTTTTTGGGAAAGCTATTGAATGCTATGCCAAAAGTATGACTGTGGTGATATTTGGATTGCAGGGGCCTATGGAGTAGGAACTTGTACTCATCAAGGGCAAAACAATTTAAAAAGGGTATTAGCCATGTCAAGTCTCATGTAACCAGCTTGCTGTGTATTTCACATCATGGTGCAAAAAATTATACAGGGCATATGTAGGAAGTCAGGCCAGAGGAAGTACTCAGGGATGTTTAATTTAGAACATTTTGAAGCCAAAGATTTGGAATTCTGTTTCAGACATGTTTCTTGTACTGTTCATGTGTTCCATCATTCATAACTTTGTAATGGGAGGGGCTGCATTATTAGGTGTTTTTTTTTCTTTCTTTTTTTTTTTTTTTAAATGGAGTCTTGCTCTGTCACCCAGGCTGGAGTGCAATGGCACAATCCTTGGCTCACTGCAACCTCTGCCTCCCAGGTTCAAGCAATTCTCCTGCCTCAGTCTCTCAAGTAGCTGGGATTACAAGCACCCACCACCATGCCCAGCTTATTTTTGTATTTTTAGTAGAGATGGGGTTTCATCACGTAGATCAGGCTGGTCTCTAACTCCTGAGCTCAGGTGATCCACCTGCCTCAGCCTCCCAAAGTGCTGAAATTACAGGTGTGAGCCACTGTGCCTGGACTGCATTATTAGTTTTTTAGGGCAGATAAACGTCATTTGACAGGGATGCATCAATATGCAATATTCATTATCCTATCTGCTTATAGTAGCAGGAAATGCAGTTTTTCCTCTGAGAATTCTCTTCTCATAATAAATACAAGAACCTCAGGATGCTAACTTAATCCAGATTGTCAGTCCAAGTTCAGTCTTTCTGACCACAGGCCTGTTCTCTACTGTGCATGCAACTGCTGCCTAGTGCTTCATAGAAAGGCAGACTACCGCGAGGGCCACTCCACAGGGTTTGAGGGAAGACTGACGTGTGGCAGAATGTGAAAAGGATTGGAAGAAAAATCTGTCCTGAGTAATACTCAGGGACAGGTGCCTAATGAGAGCCTTGACTCAGGAGAACAGTTTCTCTAGCCAGACTTTTCAATTAGCTCAACACATTGCCTGAGAGTTATAAGTACATATGTTGTTCAAATATATGGTTTGGCAATGGTCTGAGGTTAGCTTTTTGGCAAATCCAAAAACAATGTCTTGGCACAGATTTATTGTGATTTTATCTCAAGAGACTTGTTAGATAATTTCTGCTAATAGGCCTCAATTGGGGCACCCTAGGTCTTCCCCCACATATTTTGATGTTTGGATACCTTTGAACCTTAGAGGGAAGAGATTAATCTTGATACGACCTCTCAGAGACCCTTTCTGCTCTTATGCACATTTTCATCCCTTCTTGCAAACTTCAGGCTTCACATTTCAGTTAGTAGAGAGGAAAGGTGAAATGCCATCCATCAACAGAGCTGGATTCTACCCTCCCTTCAAAATAAAGGGCAGAGGAGTCCTGCTTTGCTAGTCATTCACCTACATCTGCTGTGTGCCCAAGGTTCTGTTAGGGCACAGTTGTTGGCAAACTAAATAATGTTTTATTGGAACATAGCCAAGCCTATTCCCTTACTATTGTATATAGCTGCTTTTACGCCACAGTGGCAGAGGTAAGTAGTTGTTACGAAGCCCACGTGTGACCTGCAAAGCCTAAAATATTTACTATTTGGCTTTTTGCAGAAAAAAGCTTGGACTCTTGTGTTAGGGACTGGGCATTCAGAAATGAAAACACATTACTGTCCTCACAGGGGAGCCAGCATCCTGAGAGTTATAATGGAATGAAGAACCCAGAGTGCTTGTAAGATAGAACATAGAGTGTTACCTCTGCCTCGGGCCTGGGAAAGGTTCCCCAAGGAGGCCACATTTAACCTGAGTCTTGAATTTAGACTCAGCTTTCAACATGTGGAAAAACGTGAGGCATGCAAGAGAGCATCCAGGCGGTAAGAATACTTTGTGCAATGGCAGGAATGATCGTATCATTCTGGGGAAACTCAGGTGGCTGGAATGTAGGTGTGGAGGGTGATGAAGCTGGAGGTGAGCTGCAGGTTGATCAGCACACTTGGCTAGTACTAGCAGAGAGCTTTGGAAGCTGCACGTGGGCTTTTGATGGGTTCAGGCAAGTGGAGGAGGAATTTTAGCAGTGACATTGGATCTGTCCTTTGGAAAGATTGCAACTTCTGCTAGATTGCAAAGGAGCAAGACTAGAGCCAGGGAAACATTAAAAGACCTGCTTAGGCTGGGCATGGTGGCTCACGCCTGTAATCCCAGCACTTTGGGAGGCCAAGATGGGTGGATCACTTGATGTCAGGAGTTCAAGACCAGCCTGGCCAACATGGTGAAACCCCATCTCTACTAAAAATACAAAAATGAACTGGGCGTGGTGGAGGGCACCTGTAATCCCAGCTACTTGGGAGGCTGAGGCAGGAGAATTGCTTGAACCTGGGAGGCGGAGTATGCAGTGACCAAGATTGCATCATTATACTCCAACCTGTGAGACAGGAGTGAAACTCAGTCTCAAAAAAAAAAAAAAAAGATCTACTTAAAATATATGCATTCTCTGTTGTTCAAAGGCATCTCAGTTGCCTCCTTCAAATAAGTTATCTGTTACACTGATACTGTGTCCTGGTTGTAAGTACTTTAGTGCCAGGTATGATGGTTAATTTTACATGTCAACTTGATGGGACATGAGGTGCCCAGATTAAATATTATTTCTTGGTATGTCTGTGAGAGTGTTTTCAGGTGAGATCAGCATTTGAAACAGTGGGCTGAGGAAAGCAAATGGTCCTCCCCAGTGTAGGTGGGCATGATCCAATCCATTGAGGGCCTGAATAGAGCAAAATTTGGAGGAAGGGGGAATTTACTCTCTCTGCCTGACTACTTGAGCTGGAACATCAGCCTTCTTTAACTGGAACTTACATCATAAGCTCTCTGGTTCTCAGAACTATACCACTGGCTTCCTGGGTCTTCTGATAATGGGACTTCTCAGGCTTCATAATCATGTGAGCCAATTCCTTATAATAAATTACATATCTATTTATCTCATTAGTTCTGTTTCTCTGTAGAGCCACAACTAATACACCAGGTTTGTTTGCATTCAAAGCAAGGGCCCTCAAAAGCACTATTCTAATGGGTCTTTCTATTGAATTAAGTCTCAGCAAAGAGACCTTCTCCATGAAGCTATCTCCTTCCTTGCCAAGGCATATTGCGTACATTCCTATTTTATATTTATTTTATTTTGCTCTAATTATGATTACTCACACCTTACTTACCACAATGCCAAGTGCATAGGAGGTACTCAGGTTTATATTTGATGATTGGAAGAATGACAGAGTGTGGCTAAGCACTGTCTTGGTGGTCTGTGGAGCCAAACTGGGTAATAGGAGAGTTCAGAGACACTGTCAAATGTGCCCCAAGGGGTAGGAGCTCTCCTACCCACGGGGTAGGACAAAGGTTAAGTGAAGTACAGAAATTATGTCATTCTTAGTTCTCTCCTTTGAGTCCCCTTACCCTGTCCCCCAACCACCACCACCACAAAAAGGTACTGAAGAAAATCTGCTTGACTATGTAGGACTCATTAAAAGTCATTTGCAATTTGATTGACATACTCTGGTTGGATCCCATTTCTTTCTCTTTTTATTTTGGAAGATCTGCATCTTATTTTTGTGCTACCAGCAAGTTTCTCATGTTCACTTGCATGGACATCTGTGTGGTAGGCATCTGTTCTGAAGTTATGGTTGGAGAGATGCAATTGGAAAGTTGTGTGGATGGAGGGCATGGGTTTCAAGAATTATGCTTAGCTTCAGCTGGTACACACAAAAGTAGTCCTATGGTAGGGTAGGTAGAACACGAAGCATCTTCATCTTAGTTGGCAAATAACTGCTGCCTCCCTCAAGTGTTTCTGCCATTCAGACTGCCTTTTCCACTCATCCCCGGAATTTCCTGGATATGCCTGCATTCTGTCATCTAAATGGTTAATGATTAACAGGTTTGTCTGAAGGGTATCCCTGAACAAACTCTGCTCCAGTGATCTATTTGATTGGTTGGTACCTGAGCCACTCTGCGTATCCCAAGTCCTGACTTTGGGACTGGGTTAGTCAGGGATCTTCAGAGAGACAGAATCTATAGGATAGATATAGTGTTGGCCCTCCATATTCATATATTCATGGACTTTTTATTTGTGGATTCAAACAACCACAGATAAAACATATTTGGGAAAACAATAAAAAATGCTGCAGATAAAAAGAATACATTATAACAACTATTTCCATAGCATTTACATTGTACTAGGTATTATAAGTAATCTAAAGATGACACAAAGTATAGGAAAGAATCTGCATTTGCGCAAATACTACCCCATTTTATATAAGGGACTTGAGCTTGGTATCTGCGTGTGGGGAGGTTATCCTGGAAAAAAACCTTTATGGATACCCAGAGATGACTGTATAGATAAATGAGAGGACATTTATTAGGGGAATTGGCTCACGTGAATATGGAGGTTGAGAAGTCCATGGAAGGCTTTCTATAAGCTGGAGACTCTGGGATGCCAGTAGGTAGCATGGCTCAGTGCAAATCTCAAGGCCTGAGAACCTGGGGGCTGCTGGTATAAGCCTTGAAGTTCAAAGGCTGGAGAGCTTATATCCGAGCGTAGGAGAAGAGAGATGTATCTCAGCCTCAGGAGAGGGAGAGATGGAGGGGGTGGGAGGGGAGAGAGATAGAGAGAGAGAGAGAGAGAGAGAGAGAGAGAGAGAGAGATAAATTCATCTTTCCTGTTTGTTCTATCAAGGCCTTCTGCTAATGAGTTGGTGCCTGCCCCCATTGGGGGTGGATGTTTCCCCAACTTAGTCTACCCATACTCAATTGCCAATCTCCTCAGGAAACACCCTCACAGATGCACCCAAACATAATACTTTACCAAATTTCTAGGTATTTCTAATCCAGTCAAGTTGACATTTAAAATTAACCATCAAAGGGCATTTCCATAAATGCCTTCCAGGACCACAGAATTCGATACCTTGTTTTCAGCCACTACTCAGCTTTAGGCTCAGTTCTGGGGTAGGATGGTACCACTGGGGAACTGCCTTTGTGCCTGCCAGTCAGGCTGCCTGGCTCCTGTCCACTGGCTTCTATTCCTGAATTTCATCTACATCAGAAGGAGCTCAGACCTTAGGGGAACTAGAGCCCCTAGCAAAGGTGCTGACACTCTGACAAGCAAATGCCACCTGTGCCTGATCCCAGGAACAGTCGTGATTCATGTAGCAGAGGGTGCTCAATTCTGGAGTCACCCTTGTGTTTTTGCTCATAGGAACTGTAGCATCTATGGGCTTTTAAATCTGAGAGGCTTGGAGAGACAGGGAGAATGGGGATGAGGTGGGTAGCAGAAATGGTGGATATTGCAACAACAGCTAGATGCTGCAGGCTTCTTTGCACATTGAGTACTTCTGAAATTTGAGGGAGGCTGTGTGGATGGATGGAGCTATGAAGAATGGGCAGATTTGTCTGTTTAATGAGACACATCTTTGAAAATTCGCACAACCCCCATTCATCATGGGCATCAACAATATTCATTTTTATAAAAGTGAGAGCTAAAGTTTACATGTGGCTTCTATGCCAGGCACCATGTATAGTGAATTATTTAAATACTGTTGTAATCATCATAATCTCCATTTTACAGATGAGGACACTGAAGTTATTTAAAACAAGAATAACATAGGATTCCAAAGCAGATAGCCCTGAGTCTCCAGTGTTGGAAGGCTTATATTTGATCTAATTATCTTTGACATGTCAACAAATGATTTCTGTGACTTAGTTGATTATAGAGCCATTGAATGTAAAAATATTTAGACATTATTATGTAATTGCTGTTACATCAACAGGAGCTGAGGAGAGCATTTAGCACCATAAAACAACATTGCTAATGGCAAGAGAAGCTCACATTTTAAGACTACAAATGATCATCAATTTAGAAGAGTTTGACTGTGATTGTCTGTCAAATTATGACTCAGACAAGGGCTAAATGTCAGTTACTGGCAGTTTCACAAACAGAAGATAAAACCCATAGTTTATAGTATTAGTGGAAATTATCTTATTAAATAAGCAATATTTTTTGTTACGACTTATATTACCTGGTAACCAGTTTAAAATACATACATATATGTATAGATATATTGTTTGGTTTATCTAGAGACAAAATAGGAACAGAGGTCTAAATTTTTTCTTTATATATTAATTTATTTTTCTACACAAGTTATTGAACATTATAAATATAATTTCTGATGACATTAGAGTTACATAGTGAATAAATCAAACAGGGAGACTAGTAGATATGAAAAAATGCATCGTAAACTGTAACATGCTCATTAATTGTAATGGAAATAATTAATATATTAATTTACACATGCACATACTTTTTTTAAAAAGCAAGGATAGCCGAGCATGGTGGCTCACACCTGTAATCTAGCACTTTAGGAGTCCGAGGTGGGTGGATCACCTGAGATCACGAGTTTGAGACCAGCCTGGCCAATGTGGTGAAACCCCATCTCTACTAAAAATACAAAAATTAGCTGGGCATGGTGGTGGGTGACTGTAATCTCAGCTACTCAGGAGGCTGAGGCAGGAGAATCGCTGGAACCTGGGAGACAGAGGTTGCAGTGAGCCGAGATTGTGCCACTGCACTCCAGCCTGGGAGACAGAACAAGCTTCTATTTCTAAATCAATAAATAAATAAAATAAAAAAGTAAGGATAAAAATAATTTAGAAATATGCTTTTGATTTATTAATATCATTGGGGCTGGGAGTCATTACTTCTCTATTAAAAAATTGAATAAATGTGGTAGTTCAACTGTGTATAGAAATGCACTTCAATTAAGGCAGTATAGCACCGTGACAATGACAAACATTTTGAAGTCACAGGGATCTAGGATTTATCTTCCTTGATCCTGATGATCTATACAAACTTAGACAACTTATGTATTTTCCTGAGCCTTGGCTTTCATTCTTGTAACATGTGGATAACACTATATACTTTGAGAGTTAGGAACATAATGCTCCTATCAATGCCCTTAATATATAGATAAATATTATTTTTTTCTTAAAAAAATTTTGGGGGTACATAGTAGGTATATATATTTATGGGGTACATAAAGTGTTTAGATACAGGCATGCAATGTGAAATAAGCACATCATGGAGAATGGGGTATCCATCCCCTCAAGGATTTATAATATTACTATTAATTTTCAACATCTCTCATATCTTGTCTACATTCTCAAGAATATGATCTCTGGTTATTTACTTAGTTTCATTTATTACCTAAATGTAAGAAATTTATATTCTAAATAAGTTATTTTTATAATTACAAAAGCAATGTATAGTCATGTGGAAAACTTAGCAGAGAGAAGCAAAGAAGAATAAGAATAAACATTTCTATCATCCTCAGAGAAAACCATTATTCATTTTCTCAGTCTTTTTATGCATACATATACCTTTTAAAAATTAATTATGCTATACTCACTGTTTTGTAACCTGCTTTTTTTTCACTGAATATATATGAATATTTTTTCCATGTCATTAAATGTTCTACATCATTTTAAATGGCTATATGCTGTCTGAATATAAAAAGCTGGGGACTTTTTGACTTGCAAAACAAATCCTCATTTTCTTTTGGCTTTGTTTTTTTGGTAGGTGAGTGGAAGCAGATAGAAATTGTTTTTAAGGTATGTTTCACGTATTTGTTTTCCCTAATGATGGTTCAGTAGTTTGAAAGATGTGACTCAATCTGTACCTTATGCATGACAATGACAGGATTTAGTACGATAACCCTCTCAGGGAATTCGTTGCCTGCCAAGACCTAGAGCTGGAAGATTTACTGATGCTAGAGGGTTGGCTATCAACAGGAGTCACATGAAAGGCATAGAGTTACTGTCTATATTTCAGTTACTCTCTGCAGGAATGCCTGCCTTCCACTCTGCATCAGCCACCTCTGGTTGTCTGAAATATGCAAACCAGCAAGTGACAAATGCTTTTTAGAAAAAGTACAATTGCATTCAAATTGAAAATGGAGGAAGTCGATCAAAGAAGAAAGGAAGAAAGGCATTAAAAATTAATCATCGCAGGGCCATAAAGTCAGCTGTGAACCTTTAGCAATAAAAAATTAAATGAAGAAGAAGTTAATGTTTTAAACAGAGATTTAAATTTTCCAGGGGAGAACTTGATAGCTGCACTGGATTGGGGAGCTGGCAAAATTTACAGGGGAAGCCCTAGTGTCTGGTCCCACTAGAGGCTGCAGAAAGCATAAAGCAGTCATCAAATAAAACATCATTTATATTATTTAGTATCATTGTGCAAAACCTTGGTTGTAAAAGGAAATGGCACTTTTGACCGACTGAGAATATTTTTCTATTCAGAACAGATTATAGTGGCAAAAAGTGGAGGAATGCTAACAAAATACATCACTGCCAAGAGAAGCCCAGAGGAAATATTATAGAAATATTTAATATTAGAGAGTTGTAGGGCTCAAGTAATAATGTTTATCTATCTTTCTTGTTCAAGTCACAAGCCCTAAATCCGTATCTGGGATTATGTGTTCATTGATAGGTTGTCTCTGGGTAGGCTTAATAAATGATCAGGTTTTTGGACCCAAAAGGGAAGTTGAATCACATTTATTATAGTTTCTGAGCAAAGTTAGCAAGTATTTTTGGGTGTTTCTGACACATTCTTAAAAATTGGGATTGAGGCCGGGCGCGGTGGCTCACGCCTGTAATCCCAGCACTTTGGGAGGCCGAGGCGGGTGGATCATGAGGTCAGGAGATCGAGACCATCCTGGCTAACAAGGTGAAACCCCGTCTCTACTAAAAATACAAAAAAAATTAGCCGGGCGCGGTGGCGGGCGCCTGTAGTCCCAGCTACTCGGGAGGCTGAGGCAGGAGAATGGCGTGAACCCGGGAAGCAGAGCTTGCAGTGAGCCGAGATTGCGCCACTGCAGTCCGCAGTCCCGCCTGGGCGACAGAGCGAGACTCCGTCTCAAAAAAAAAAAAAAAAAAAAAAAAAAAAAAAAAAATTGGGATTGAAATGATAAAGGTATTAAGACATTGCGGTGTGGTGGTAGAACTGGTTTTGGCTGCAAAGATATTTCTGCTTGAATCTTGGCTTTGCCACTTACTATCAAACTCTGAAGAAATCACTCCTATTTTTTGAGCTTTGGTTTCTTGATCTGTTGAAGGGGAATAGAAATAATAGTATTCCCTTCACGGGGTGGTGATTATGGTGACTGAAATATTAGATGCAGCAAATGTAACATCGATCTGTGTATACAGTAAGTCTTCAGTAAATGGCACCTTCTTACCCCATTCTTTTGCTAAAGTAACCACATAGAGGTCAGATAAAAGTGTGGAAAATGTTTGGAGGATATAGCCTCGATGATTTGTCATACCACAGCCTTGGAATTCCAGCTTAGTACTACCTTATGGCATGTAGGTATTTTGATCACTTTCTGGAGATCCCCCCAAATTTTTAGGGGTCTTTTCATTGGCATTCTAGAGACATTGGCTGTGAGTACCTTGGATGTGTAGGATATGACAGCAATATCGTCTGACTTTTCTCTTTAGATCCTGGTCAGTTGGCGGGGGCAGGGGGGCAGAAATACTCAGCAGGATAATCTGAGCAAGGTCTCCTACCAGTTCAACTTCCCTGGATTTACTTACAGAAATATATTATTAATACTTAGCAACCCCAGGAAGAAATGTTCCAGCTGTTGAGAGAAATTAACACTTATTTAGCTATTTTTTTAAAGCTCATTAAAGTTTATGGCACTCTCGTTTGTGTACTGATGCTGTTTCAGGGCTGAACTGTCAATCTTCAGTTAAAGGAAGCAGCTGGAATGTTGAAGGATGTTGACTTTCAGATTATTAGTGTGTCAGATAAGAATAACACAAATAACTATTTGCAATTGTTATAGTCCTTTTATTCCCAGCATTCTTTCAAATGAGTTATGTCCAATTCCTTCCTTTTCCTCTAGGAAGCTGGCCTTTTGCACATTTGTGAGACTTGCCCTCTGAGTACATTCCCTCTTCCATCTTTCTGAGTTTAATGCCACTATGATCCACTAAATCACCCAAACCAGTAACCTCAGTGTCATTCTATATGCCTCCTGAAAACAAGTGGTCAACAAATCCTATCAAATCTAGTTCCTGAAATAAGTCTATCTTCCATTACCATGAACACTGCCTTAGTTCAGATCGTCAGCATCTCTTGATATATACTTCAACAGCCTTTATACTGGGCTCCTTTTCTTTAATCTTTACCTTTTCTAATCAATAATATCCAAGAATATTATTTTTAGAAGGAATATATGACTATGTCACCTTTTTGCTTACAAACCATTCAGTGAGTCCAATTTTGCCCCTCTCTATTTGGCCTACTACCTTTCCCCTTCTTGCTTCTTAATTGTCAATGCCTGAATCATACAGAATTACCTGTAGGTCTCCAATCAGTCATGCTTTTTCATGCCTTCATTCCCTCAGCCTGAAATATGCCCCTTTCAGTTTATCCTCTATTGAGAACTGACAGAGATAGCTCACAGGACACTTTGTTTCCAGGACCCATTCAGTGACTTTATCCTTATCTTTCTACCTTTCCCTCATCATGTTCTGTGATTCCAAAACAATGGATATACTCAGAGGTTATAGCACTTATGTATGCACTGTACTGATTCCAAGCTTATTTACTCCCACTGTCCTGCAGACTCCTTGAATATAGGAGTGGTGTCTCTTTATGTTAATTGCTAGGCATTTAGACATTGTGCATAGTAGATGCTACATAATACATGATTGAATGATTGGATAGATGGATGATGAATGAGCATGAACTACTGTTGTTTTCTTTTGGTGTCTCTCTTTCCCTCACCAACAAATCATCATGACTCTTCCTTTCCTCATCTAAATCCTCCTTTTCTCTGTACTAATTTTAATAGCTGTTAGGAACCAAACATTTGAATTTAAACCACTTCATTCTAAGTTGTGAATGACTCACCACCCCCACACTTTCTATTTTTAAAAAAGTAATTTCTACTTCTAGTTTTAAAAAGAAGGCATAAATTCCTAGGTGAGATTTCAACAAAGATATTAGGCTGGAGGACATGTAGCTTTGAGCTTTCAGTTTACTCCCTATATGTACCCTTATTTTGAGTACACATAAGACAGCCTGATATCACCAAAGAAGAGCTTCCCTTTCATAAGATCAAGAGATAATATTGCAAGCCGGGCGCAGTCGCTCGTGCCTGTAATCCCAGCACTTTGAGATGCTGAGGTGGGTGGATCACCTGAGGTCAGGAGTTCGAGATCAGCTTGACCAACATGGAGAAACCCTGTCTCTACTAAAAATACAAAATTACCCAGGCATGGTGGCGCATGCCTGTAATCCCAGCTACTTGGGAGGCTGAGGCAGGAGAATCGCCTGAACCCGGGAGGTGGACATTGCGGTGAGCCAAGGTCATGCTGTTGCACTCCAGCCTAGGCAACAAGAGCGAAACTCCGTCAAAACAAACAAACAAACAAAAAACCACCATATTATTGTTATAATAACAACAGCAACAACTGCTC